>NC_000004.12:135588047-135891077 GCF_000001405.40 Homo sapiens
ATATAGATATTCTCATTTCTTATAATTGATTTCATGTTTTCCTGCCTCTCCCATTAAAAAGTCTAGCTCTACTGAGTGACAAGCTGAATGACTGTGATTTACCAAAACGTATTTGTTATCTACCTATCACCAGGTCATTCACTCATATTGATTGAAGTTTTCTGTTCTTGTTCTTTGTCATTCTCTCTAACACTACCTATTAACATTTGACCACATCCTTTCTAACGATAATAGTAACCTAAACATCCAGACAAAACAACATTCAACACACTAGATTCCACTCCCTTGACACTTAAATTCCAAATGCCTTTTCTTCTGTCCTTCTTTAGCAACTCTAGGTATTTTATACTCTAGATACTGCCAGTAATAATAGATCCACAATCATTGTCTTTTCTATATTTCTTTTTTCTTTTCTTTCCTTCTTTTTATTATTATTATTTTTCCTGGGACAGTGTCTCACTCTGTCACCCAAGCTAGTGTGCAGTGGTGCAATCGTGGCTCACTGCAACCTCCGCCTCCTGGGCTCAAGCGATTCTCATGTCTCAGCCTCCTGAGTAGCTGGGACTACAGACACACACCACCACACCCAGCTTATTTTTCCATTTTTCGTAAAGACAGGGTTTGACATGTTGCCTAAGCTGGTGTCAAACTCCCGAGCTTAAAGCCATTCTCCTGCCTTTGCCTCCCAAAGTGCTGTATTACAGGTGTGAGCAACCACGTCCAGCTGACTCTACTATATTTCATTTTTTTTGTTTCCCTATATTTTCATTTCCATCAGTACATAGCCAAAGCACAATTGCTCACTGCTGTAATTACCCACTTCAAGCATTCTTGACTCACTTGTCCCTGTCTCTATTACTCAATGTTTTTGATATATTTAAACAATGCTCAGATTCAATTTTCTTCATGTTTTAGCTTTTCCCTAGTATAAGTAAATGTGTGTGAAACAAAACTGTTAAACTAAGAATCACAATGCAAAATGGGTCGTCAACACTGCATAGGTTTTCTTGTGAATTTATTGTCCCATTTTTCAGTGTAACATTTCATACCTTTTCTTCTTTCTTGAACTTGCTATCACCAACTTCCTACATTGTAGCTTGTTACACTATTTAAAATTTTATTAAAAATAAATATTATCTGAAATATATTACCACCCCTTCCACAGCATTTTATAACCCATTTATAAATTTATTCATATATTTTTTATTTCCTCCTATTGTACTGCATGAATTTTATCTGTTAGGGTTATCACCCCCTCTAATTATGTACTAGATAATACTATTCCCTCTCACATAATTAAATTTGTTTTTTTTTACTGCAATTATCCCATTGATATTTTAAATAATCAATTTTTATTTCCCTATTGACTGTTCCTGTCCCCATAAAAACATGTTTAGAATTTTCCTGTAAAAAATAATAATAATAAAATCTGTACTTCATATCCCTTTTTCAACTACTGCCCTATTTCTCCCCAGGTTTAAAATTACACATTTAAATAATACTGCTATTAATAAAAATACCTAATTTTTTGAGTGTTTACAGTAGACTCTAGGCATGGTGATAAGTGCTTTGCATGGCTACCTCATTTGTCTGTATTCACTTTTTCACTTATTTACTTCTTATTTTCCCTTGAGCCTACAATAATTAGGCTTTGTTTCGAAGAAGTCTATTAAACTACTCTTTATCAAGGTCCTTAATGACTTCTATCTTGCCATATGAAATGTTTAATTGTGGCATTCTCTTCATTTTATATCCAGGCAACATTTATTAATATTACTATTTTCTCTCCTTTGAGACTCTGTATTCACTTGGTTTTTGGGCTATCCCAGACCCCTAGTTTTCCTTCACCTGGTTTTCAACAGCTGGTTTTCTGTGTAATTGACAACTTAACTTTTCTTTTCTCAATTGAAAAAAACAGAGTATCTGAAAATGAATCTTGGCTTCTTTTATCTACTTACATTCACTATCTAGAAGGTCATCTAATATCAGCTTTAAATAATATTTACACGTTGTTATATCTCACTTTTATATCTGTAGCTCTAACCACGCCCCTGCTTTATATTTCTGTATTCAACTGCCTAATATATAGTTCTATTTGAATGTTTATAGACATCTGCACTAGAAGCTGCTACTGAATTTTAATTATTCTTCTCCTGAGAACATGAAAGACTACATTACCTAGCCCCTAACATTTGGGAAGTCCCCTATGACCACTTCAAGACAAAAATCTGAGAAAAAAAAATGCGTGTGACTTTTACACTTAAACACAGAAGAATGAATGTGAGATCTCCTTGTATTATGTTCTCCTGCATTAAAGAATGAGAAAGCTTTCTCAAGATGCTATGGCTACTAAAAGGTAGTATCTGCTTTCACCAAGGCCCTACGTTATTGAAAAATTTCTGTGAGAGAAACTTATCATTGTACAAAAAACTGTTAAGATTTGGGGGTAAATTAATCACTGCAGCATAACTTAGAACACTTCTATGAATATAATATCTAAAAATTAATGTCTGAAATAACTTTTTTTCTTAAAAATATTTATTCTTCAAACTATCTATAATTGTAAATGACATCATCTTTATCCAGTTAACAGATCAAACATGTAGGAATCATTCTTCATATCAACATACAGTCTCTCAGGAAATCCTATTAGTTCTAACTTCAAAATATTCCCTGAATCCCACCAGTTTTCATCACTGCCACCACAGCCACAGCCACACTCATCAAAGCCATAATCACCCATGCCTGGAGGTTTGCAAAAACCTCCCAAGTAATCACCCTTTTCAGTTTGATCTCTCAAACTACATTTCCTATAAAACCTCTCCCAATCAAAATATAACTGCTCCCACATACAATCCCTCATCTATTATCTTCTCTACCTACCAGGATGATGTAATTTCCTTTGGATTTCACTCTTGATCAGCGTGCTTTAATCATATTGATTTTCTTGATCTCAAACATGTAAAGGTTGTCTCTGTTTGGGGGCTTTTGAAGTTGCTGTTCACACTTCTCCAAAGTCTTTGCTGGTTCGCACCCTCAAATGACATACCTTTACAAACACAGACCCACAACATTCATTACTCCCTTATTTTGCTTTATTTTTTCTCGTAGCATGTATCACTTCATACAAATATAAAAGTATATATGCACATGTCTGTGGATGTGAGTGTGACCGAGTGTGTGTATGTACTTCTTTGTTGTCAAGATCTAACCTTGGATTAGAAACTCCATAAGAGAATTTTTTTTCCTCCGTTGTTTATAATTTTGTTCCTAGAAATAGAATAGTGCCTAGAATACAAGTGAGTGCTTAGTAAACATTTGTTAAGTAAAAAAATAAATTCCATTATTATTATTCTATATCCAATTCCAAATAATGAGATATGGTTACAGAATAATCTAAACCAATATTATTCAGCTAAACCTTTGAAGTTATTACTTTCTCTATTTGATATGATAAAAAGCAGCTATTTATTCCTATGAATTTAAATTAGAATCTTAAAATGCTGTGATTTCACAATTTGTTAAATAATAGATTGTTTATTCTTTCTGTTTTCTACCTAACCACATAAAGCGTTCTATGCAAGCAGAGAGAAAATGGTTCAGTTCAGCTAAGATATTTACACTGCATCATTTATTTATGCATGTATCATTAAAATCAAGTTGTGATTTGAAATCACCATCTTCATGCTTTACAAAATCAGAATTGATAATCTGTGTGAAACAAATTCAGAAACAGTTGAAAGCTAGAAATAGAAGAGGAATCATACCTTTTCAAATTTCTCTGATAAAAGACTTAAAATAATATATTATGCATATATACTGCTTTAAATACTTAAAAGATGACATGATTATATGTTATCCTTACCTCCTGGCATATCCTTAATCCACTGAAATTGCAGATGATTTTTTTTTTTTTGGCTAAACTAATGGAAACACCCAGTATTTTAGTTACCTTACCTCTCATTATTTGATGCTGCTATTTGCTTATTAAAATATTCTCTCTATGGCTTTTCTGGCATCATAACTGTCTCTTACTTTCCCTCCAAATGTTCTCATGACTGCTAGTAAATTGCTTTTACTGAGCAATGATTGTGTTCCTCAGAGTTCTTTCCTGTGTTTCTTTTTGTGTTCTATGCTTCACATTCATCATAGTCATTCTAGGCAATCCCTTAGCTACCATAAGTTTAGTATATCTATACAGAGTCCACATATCAATAACAATTAAATGTCCAATTTTTCTATTTTGTTCAAATGTAATATTCACAGCAGTCAATCTAGATAATTTCTTCAACTACCACAAGTTTAGTTATACATCAGCCCGTGTATCAATAATAATTTCAATCTTATCCAAATGTGATCTTCTGTCTTCTCTTGGATGTCCTAAAAAATATAGTATGATTAATATCCCTAAATTAATTAGCTTCCCTCTAAACCAATCTTATCTTCCCTTTGTTAACATTCTATGTGAATTCCATAAATAGGCATCGACTTCAGCTCTGTTTTTCCTTCCCATATAAAATTTTGAGCAGTTAATTCTATAAACATGTTACTAATTCAAACTGTGGTGAAGAATTCCAACAGGTAATATCAGTTCTGTTTTTCTTCCAGACATTTAAGTTAAACTTTACTGCCCCCCATTTGAAGATAGGTCAAGGAGACCTTATAATATATTTGGTTGTGTTAAATACATTTGGGAAAATATTCTTTCTCAGTTTGTAGTTTATCTGTTTACTTTATGTAGGTTTCTTTTGGTAAACAGAATTCCTTATTCTTCAAACATTGTTTATTCTTCATACATTTATCTACTTTTTTTTTCTTTCATGGTTAATTCTTGTGTGTTTTATTTATTAACTATATCAGTATGTCAAAGTAAGAAACTATGCACCTATAATTGACAAATAATTTTATCAAGAAAACCGGAAAGATTTCTACTGTTTGGTTGGCTAATGGAACACTGCAAAATCATGAAATGATACTGCGTAAAGGAAAAGACAGATAAAAGCACTGTACATATGAAGATGTGCTCTACCACACCAATAACCAAAGAATGAAAATTTAATGTATCTACCACAATATAATATTTTACACATATTCAATTTGAAGAAATTAAGTAAGCTGGAAATGTTCCATATCAGAAAGAATGTGGATCAATAAAATCTTTTTTACAACCATTTTGGAAAACAGAGTGTCATTGTCATTGTAACACTGAAATATTTCTCACTTCTTGACTCAAAGTTTCTACTTCTAGGTAGATACCTAAAGACATAATTATGCATATGTTGATTGGAAATTATATATGAATAGGTTCAAAACAAAATTTGTAATAGATAATCAACAAAGGGTCTTTGATAGGAGAATTAATAAATATGTGGTATATTACCAAAGTACATATAGTAGCTAAAATGCCTAGGCTAAAGCTACGTATAAAATATATGAACAGAACTTCATAATAATTTTGTTGAATACAGAAAGCAAACCCCAATGACTATATATAATATAAAATTATTGTAATAAAATCCAATTGTTAGCAAGAGTAAATAATTTATTTAAATATTTTAAATCCAGAAAGTATAATTAAGACAAAATTTAGGATACAAGTTAAATCTTGAGGGTAGGTGGGAAGTAGTGAGAAAAGACCCTATACAGAATCCTTTTAGCTGTGTACACAGGTTAATATAGGCTACTGGTGATGTTGTAGTCACTGGTTGAATCTTGCATTCAGAGGTATTCATTATGTTATTTAAAATGAATGAATAATTTAATTAGTCAGGTATAAATGATAAAATAAATTATGGCTACACATAGACTGATACTGATAATATGTCATTAATGAAAGTTTAACTTTCTTTTTATATATCTGGGTAATTTTTGTTAAATGGTATGTTCGGTGATACAAAGACCTGGGCTGTGATAAAACATTAGATATTAATATTTTCTTCATCAATTCCATTAGTATTTATTTTCTTATATAATCCTGAATTATCTTCCATATGTTATTCAGTCCAGAAACACAAAAATTATTTACAGCTACTTTTAAACATGTTTTTTTAGTACAATTTTAGATTCACAGCAAAATTGAGTCTAAAGTACACAGAGTTCTCATATGCCACCTGCCCCAACACATGAATAGTGTTTCTCATTATGAACATCTCCCACCAGGATGAGACATTTAGTACAATCAAACTCCTGTTGACACATCATCACCCAAAGACCATAATTTACATTAGGGTTCACTTTTGGTGTTGTATATTTTATAAGTTTGGACAAATGCATAGTGACATAAATTCACCATTTAACTATCATACACAGTATTATCACTGCCCTAAAATTTTTCTGTGCTGCATCTATTCATCAGTCCCTCCCCCAAGCCCCTGACAACCACTCATCCTTTTACTGTCTTCACAGTTTTGTGTTTTCCACAGTGTCATTTAGTTGGAATCATATAGTATGTAGCCTTTTCAAACTGGCTTCTTTCACTTAGTAATATGCATCCAATGTTCCTCCATGTCTTTTCATCGCTTGACAGCTCATTTCTTTGAAGTGCTGAATAATATTCCACTGTCTGGATGCATCATAGTTTATTTATTCATTCATCTACTGACAGACATCTTAGTTACTTCCAAGTTTTAGCTTTTATAAATAAATCTACTATAAAAATCTATGTGCAGGTTTTCTTGTGGACATAAGTTTCAATTCCTTTGGATAAATTACCAGGAAGTGTGAATGGTGGATCATATGGTTAAGAGTATATTTAGATTTGTAAGAAACTGACAAACTGTCTTCCAAAATGGCTATGCCATTTCACACTCCCACAGGAAATGGATGAGGGTTTGTGTTACTCCATATATTTGCCAGCATTTGGTGTTGTCAGTGTTCTGGCTTTTGGCACTTTTAATGGGTGTATATGATATAGAAGTTAAGAAGAAATTATTTAGGAAGATAGTAAGGGCATAGGAGTCCTCAGTAAGGCTTTTCCTTTTAATGAAAAGCAGCCCAAAATCGTTTTCTAACAAAGAGCAGCCTGTAAAGTTGAGCTGCAGACATAGACAAGCAAGCTGGGAGCTTTTACGGGTGAATGCTCACAGATACTAAAAATCAGACATGTTAAGATGGTGGCTCCATCTTCCTTTCCCTGCCAGCCATGTGTACTATCAAAAGCAGACAAGATAGCACTGATCAACTACAAAACCCATTTGCATAAGAAGATTAGGGTGGGGCAGACAGCTTTCCCTACATGCTATGTAAACATCAGGCCTTATCAAAGGAACTGTGAGCCGTATGGAAATCAGATACTGCCTCCCCAAACTAGACTATAAAATTTGGAAAATTTGCCACCACCTGATCTTTTTTCCACTTGGAGACCCCTTCCTATATAGAGGAAGCTGTTTATCTTTCTCTTCTCTTCTACCTATTAAAACTCTGTTGCTAAACTCCTCATGTGTGTATGTTTCCTTAGTTTTCCTGGCAAGCAACAATGAACACTAGGGTATATACCCCAGACAATATAGCCACTTCATAATGGGGAACTTGTCCGGGATACCAAGGTATAACATTCATTAAAACAGTGAGTAGAGAAGTGGACGCCAACTCTGTCTTTTTCATTTTGAAGCTTTTGGCCTCCATTTTAGAACTGAATTAAACCAATTACTGGCCCCCGCTTCAGCCATTTAAAAACAATTAGCATGGCTGCCAGCCTTACAAGACTTGAGGGAAAGGCTTGCTGAGGAGAACATGGAGAATCCCCTGGTAACCACGGGTTGCTGGGCATATTGGCCATGCTTTAACAAGCTTCTTTTCACAGAGGACTTAGCCATTGAATGGGACTGGAAGAAGTCCTGAGGCAACTGAGGATTTCTGGCCCGGGATACCCCCAAGGGTTATCCAAAGGCCTCTGGACTGACCCCAGCCTCTAACTGCCTTGATGGGGTGTCGGCAACAGGCAATACAATTTCCTATTGTAATTTCCTTCTTTCCTGCTCATGACCATAATATTCCTTACTTTCTCTGTGTATGCAGTGTTCAGGAACTTCTACAGTTCAGGGAAATAATCTTGTTTGGTAAGATCAGGGAATGTCGTAGTAACTGGGGATATAACTCAAGGGAAGATATCTTTTTTTAATTCTAGAAACAGAGGGTTCTCCCCCACCCAACACACACAGTGAGCATCTCTTTTTCTCTCAGCTCTTGGTCTGGAGAGCACATGGCATTTCCAGGTCTTTCTCTGTCCTTGGTCTGGAGAGCACTCAATGTTTCTAGGTCTCTCTCTGTCCTTGTTCTGGAGCACATGGCATGTGAATGTCACTCTGCCCTTGGTCTAGAGTACTGGTCTACCTACTGGAATAGGGATCCTGTCCATGAGGCACATTGTTGGTCCTTCACTGAAACACCCTAGCCTCCAAATCTCTCCCCTTTTTGTGCCTCTCTACTGGAAACCAGGCTTCAAGCTGCTTCTGTAAACGGGAAAATTCTGACTTCAACAATTAGGGGTAAAGTCTCAATACTGTCCCATCAGCAGGAAAATGGCCATTTGGTCCCTACATTCTTTTGAGGCACATATTCTGCCTCCAATTAGAGTGGTACTTAATTGGTAAGGGGATTTTTAACTTCAGAAGTTAATCAGAACCATGCTTTAAGGGTAAACCCTTCAACATGGGCCATAATATCAGGACATAGGCTTCAATCTGCACACCACCTCCATTAAAGGGGCCTTGCTCAACTATTACATAGTTTTTCTTGAGATCCATTTTTCAAGCAGTCAGGGGGTCAAACAAGTCTAGGAATTCAAAGGGAAATCACAGGCAGAGAACTAGAGCTACTTGGGCAAGCATGACTAACCTAGTTCCTCTGGTTGCATGGCTGGGGTTCATGCCTGCAACCATCAGTGGCAGGTTCAGCAAGGTACTGGGACCCAGGAACCATGGAGAGAAAACAGCAGAGGGGACACCTCCATTGTCTTCCACTCCACCCTGGGTCATACCAAAAGGAAGGAGACTATAGGAACACCTTTTTCTCACTTCTCTTTCTAGATGGGTGCTATCTTCAGCCTGCACTCCCCTGGAGTTCATTCTGAAGCACTGGGACTCCTTTCACCCTGAGACTTTAAAGAAAAAGTGTCTCATTTTCTTTTACACAAGTTCATGACCTTTTTACCAGACCTTTGCAAACATTGCAACATCAACTCAGCTTTTTTCACAGTCCTATCAGGCAGCCTAAAGAGAATAATTCCCCAAAGTTAGAGAAGCAACTTCCAGAGGTACCATCTGAGGATCGCCATATATGGGGGCCCTTCAAGTTCCCTTATCATTACAGGACCATAAGCAAGTAAAAAGAGACTTAGGCTGACGTTCTAATGACCTTGATATTTATAAAGAAGCTTTCCAAAATTTAACTCAGGTATTTGACCTCTCATGGAGGGATGTTATGCTGTTCCTAAACCAAAATCCTAACCACAGCTGAGAAGCAGGTGGCTCTGTAAGCAGCAGAAAAATTCAGAGATGCGCAATATGTCTCCTATAGTAGGCCTAAAAGAAAAGAGAAAATAGGAAAGGCAAAGAAATAGGGGAAACACCATACTCAATAGGAAAAATGGCAGTACCTCTTGAAAACCTTAATTGGAACCCGCAGGCTTTTCTATGGTGTTTTTCCTTCTTTTACAGTTTCAACTGGCTTTTTTATAATGTTCTTTCAACATGGAAAGAGTTAATTTCACCAAACCTTAAAATGTTTGGCTTAGAGTTAATCTCAGGTGAAGGGAACCTAGTAGCCTGACATGCTGGCAAGAAGGTAAAAGTTTGTTTTTTTTTTTTTTTTAACCAGTCGAGCTTTTGGTTTCTCTCTCCCCATGCAAACCGGCAAAAGGGATAATAAGGATTGTTGTTTATATTCTCTGTACAGTTTTAATTAGTGAAAAAGGATTTGTGAGGTTGGTCTTAAGCTATAGCCAATCTGGTATACTTTGTGTGTCTTTCTGTATGGTTCTGTCAAAAGAAAGGATACCTTAGGTTAGGATGGAGACCCAGGACTCCATAAGCCTACTGTTCAAGCCAGCCCAGCAGAATGGTCAGTAATAAACGTGGCTATAAGCCTCCATCCTGTTTCATGTCCTTGGGAACATGACCCAATACTTCGTTTTAGTCTTTGCCATTTTACAGTGCTGGCTGTTTTCTTGTTCTGAGTCAGTTCCTGGGTGAGGGCCACCAAATTAGATAAGCCAGTTTATCAATCTGTGTCAGGCCAGCTAATCCATCAAGGGTAGGGTATACAAAATATCTTAAGCACTGATCTTGAGAGCAGTAAACAGAGGGTCAAAATCTTGGAGCCTCCAGCTGTGTGATTCCTAGGCCATGGTTTCTTTTTCTAAACTTGTGGCTAGATTCTTGGTCTGGTTCCCAGGCAAGAGGAAAATATTCTTAAGAAGAGCTATTATCATATTTGTTTTAGACAATAAACTGTAGATCAGTCTTCTCCCAAAGTTGGTTTTGCCTATGCCCAGGGAAGGGCAAGGACAGCTTAGGGGCTGGAAACAAAATGGAGTTGATTGGGTCGTATCCCTTTCACTATCTCAGTCACAATTTTGCAGTCTTTCTCAAGCTGCCTATTGCCCCTTTGAAAATACCTTGCACACTCGTGGTTTAGTCATGACCTAATTTTGGCTTGTGCATTTCACTTGTGAGGTTACTTTTTGTAAAATTCAAAGCTGAAAATCTTAACTGCTTGGCATGGCTAAAGTCATTTAACAAGGGACTTAAAGAAATTTTCTTAAAGAGTATTTAGGTTAATTAAAAATGGATATTCAAGTTATAGGTATATTTAAAGGCCTCTATGTTTTTCTCTTCTTGGATCTTGTTTTTCTGGAATAAGTTTTCTTCTTCTTGGTTGATTGAATTATTTTTCTCAATTTTTTTGACTTGCCACTCTTAATACTCTTAATGAGAGGCCCTAAGATAACTTCTGGTATGATGGGACTCTTTGGGAAAAACAAAGGAGGTGCAACAGACTCCATTTTGGGGAAAAAACCCTCTGTTTTCCTCCTAAAACCCAAGGAATTAAAGGCAGATACTTCTCTCTCAAAATCAAAGGCTTGGTTCTGTTTTGCATTTTGTTATCTGTTTTGAGTTTTTGGGGTATCCAATTACTTCACATTAGGAGAGAGCTTTGTTGTGTAATAACTAGGTAGGAAATACACTTTAAGGGATGGCAAATAGTAGTTATAAATCAGAGAGGCATGCTCTTGGCCACCCAAAAGATATGGAAACGTCCCCACCCCCGTCAGAGAGATAAGACTCCCATGGAGGATGGGCTAATTACAAAATAAGCCAACTGGCTTTGGGTTGTCCTGCAGTGAAATTCATGGTAGAAGCACTACACAGACTTCTTCTATAGTAGCTCCTGCTTTTTGGAGATCCAAAATTCGGTATAAAATGGCACCTTTAATTTTAGGGATCTGTTTTTACCTTCTGCTATGCCTGCTTATTAGGCCCTAGAAATGCATGCTACCTGGCTCTCTTCCTCTAAAGTTTCCACCCTGATGCCAGTAATCCAATTAAGAAACCGGCAAATAAAAAATCTTACAAGTGTTGAATCTTGTGTTTGTGTCACTATATATGTGTTGTGTGTAATGTCTATAAAAAGAACACTAATTGATGGGCTTGAAGAAAAATAAGCACTTAAATACTTTTTAGTTCATGTGATTTTTGTCTTTAAGAAATAAAGATACTCTTCAGGATTACTGGTAAAATGCAAGAGCTATCAAAATGCAAATAGGTGGTCTAAATCATTCAACTTAGATACTAGGTTTGTTAAATGTTCCCAGATTGTATTCTGCCTGCTTTTCAGATAGGTAAGGCCTGGGACTTGTGGAACTAGAGGCTGAAAAGAGTCAGACCTTATCTTCACTTCTTTCTGAGTCCTAGGCTCCACACTTCATAAATAATTAAAACCACTTATTCACAAGGTTTTTCACCAAAAGTAAAAGTTGCTAAGAGTTAACAGTGCAACATTTATTTGAGATCACTAAACAGTCTTATATACAAGGTGTATGAAAACAGTAAAATGTGTTTTCTAGTAAAAGATTATAAGAAAGCATGGAAATGTAAATTTTGCCCAGTGATGAAGGATGATGTTAAATTTGATATGATAAAACTAAAGATTTAAGCAAATTGTGGAAATATTGTAAAAATTAATCTTGCAAAAATGTGTAAACATTAAATTCAAAAGGGTATTATATGGTCTTTTCATAAATTGAGCACTGAAATAAAAACACAGCAAGGTTGTCTTAAGAGGCTAATCTGCCCTTTTGCAAAAGGGTTTATAAAAGGTTTATAAATATTTTACCTCATGGTCAAATTTGTTAAGCTTAGATGGAATTTTCTATGAGGTTTTATCAAAAGGTGGTTAAACATAATAAACTAATGCAAGGGTAAAATTTGGCTTTGAACAGGATTTTCACGTAATAGTAAAGGGTAATAGAAGGTTTTTGCCTTCTGAGTCATAATTTTGGCAAAATAAATAATTTATGGCAATCTGGAATTCTATTTCATAACATCAAGTGTTTTAAACCTCTAACATTTAACAGGCATCCCAAAATCAAACTTCAAGTTTCAAAATTGTCTTTCCTGATGCCTGGCTTTCTGGATGGTTCAGAGGGCCCCTGAAACATTCAGAGAAGAGGTAAAAATGATTATTTGACATGTTTAGTCACATGAGATTGCCAAAATGATGTCCAGTTTTTTTTTAGCTTTTTTTCTGAGTATATGCTATCAATCATAGTTGAGGTTAAAGTTATTGTAAACCATGGTGATAACTAAACTTCTTTGTAAGTCATATTTTTAACTATAAGTACTCTGGAAATTTTGTCGTTCACAGATAATTGTTGTCTTGCTTCGTTCCTTCTCAAAAGATGGTTTAAAATCAAGGTGTAGGACTTTATATTTTAAATAGCTTTGAAGATTGTAACATGGGAATAGAGAAAGAATGTATGGGACTCATAAAGAACTGACATGTTCACGAATATCAAACAAAATAGTAGTTAACTAAATGGACTGCACTCAGAAAGTTAAAGCAACCTTTTTGACTTTTTCTTGGAATATTTCTGATCCTTGTTTTGTTTTTCAGAGTCAAGGAAACTTATTTTGAGCTATTTAGGCCTCTAATAATTAAGTGAGTTATATTCCAGTGGACAACATTTGGAGCATGTTTGTTTCTCTCTGCCTGGTTCCTCTGAAATTTGGAAATTATCTGTGAGTAATCTTAACTTATAGCAACATAGTTGTTTGCAACAGGGCAAGAGGAATCCATTTTTCTTTTTCAACTGGACACAATTGGAAAAAACTGGTTATTTCATCAAAGCTTTGACTGGAAGGGTATGCTTCCCTTTAAGGAATCAATCTTGACTTGTAGAGCTGATAAAAGCCCCATGGAGATAACTGGCCTCATACCTTTTCTACACAATCCCTGCACAGGGTTCCTAACCTGTGGTCAGTAAAGAATGTCGCTTTCTAACAGGTCCAGCAACTCCAAGTTTATCTTGGGACCATAAGAGAATAGGATTACCCAATTCATATGTATTTGAGGATACAAATCCATGGCTTGACTCAGCTTTAAAATATCTTATCTGAGATTCTTTGAGGAACAGACTTTCATCAAAGCCAATCCAAAAGGACTATGTAGAAATAAACATTTTTGCTGCACTTTATACAAATAATCAGACCAATTATGAGACTAAAGTTTATTCTATGAAAAACACAGTTCTGTCATAATTTGTTTTTGCCAAAAATGAGAACTGGACGTAGAAATTATGCTCCAAACTTGATCACACATTTGTCATTAAATCCTAGTCTCATTGTTTTTAAGTCTTTTGTCTATATTTTAGACTAACACTGCTTATTTTGTGAATCAAGTGGTGATCTCCTGCAGCTTGTAGGAAACAAAAAGGGATGGGTAATGTAAATATCTAGATCAATTATTCTGCAAATTTTGCCAGGTAATAAAAGTGAGTAGGGTGCCCATAACACAGAGGTTCTTTTCGTTTGGGAAAATAAAACAAAGGAACTTTATAGACCCCCAAAGGGAAATTCTCATCTTGCAAGTAAAATTTCAGATGGAGTTAATCTACTACATTACCCTTGCAGAAATTGCTATACTCACTCTACTATTTGCAGTAGAGCTATACGCAGTAGCACCTTCTAACTGAAATACTGGAAAGAAAGTTTCCATTGCTGTAGTATTTTGCTTAATTATTATCTTTATAGCAGGGATAATAGTTACCAAAAAAAAGAGGCTTGAAAGTTTTACTATCAGCTCTGCTAGGACTTTTTATTGGGTTTGGTGATACATCACATCTTTTAGCTCCTGCAATATCAGCATTGGCCTTTTGTACAACAAAACTAATTGCTGGGTCTGTCCTGAGTGGTTTGCTCAGTTCGATCACACTAAGGAACCTCTCAAATGACTCAGAACTTACTGTCTTAGGATTCCCTTTGTTAGTCTCACCTTTAACACTTAAGGACTTATCAGGCATAAATGTGACATGGTATGGGAGCACTTTCAACTGGGTAACTAACTCCTCTCAGGAAACGCATGTTTCCAGTGCCAAAGAACACTCTCGCCAAAGGTGAGTTTCACACCCTCAGGCTTGGAAAAGTTGACCAGGTAATAACAGATGCCTTCCTCTGCTTTAAAAGCAGCGGGAAAGGACCATATTTGGGAGATCTCAAATAATGTAACATGACACTCGTAATTGCTGATAGTTCAAAGATTTGGTGAGGAAAGCACAATAAGGGTGATCTTTGGAGATCACCCGTATTGAGGGGCATTCAGAATCTAGGCTCTCCTTCTGGTTGGAAGTCCCAGTGGGACTGGCATGATCTAAGTAACCACCTTGACTATAATGTAAAGAATAACACACAGGCCTTTCCAAACAAGCCACCTCATGGAATTCCAGACCCTTGTATGATGTTTGCTAATAGTAGTGTCCTACAAATCTGTGAGAAACTTGGAGACATCTGGACCAATATCCCTTGCCACAAGGATCATCTGAGATATTGGACAGTGCATATTATATCCCCAATTTTTTGAAACTCCATTTGTCAGGTGGAACTTTCTCATTTAGCATGTAAGATTCTAAACGGCATTGTGAATGACTATCCTGAGTATGGGTAACCCTGTCCCAAAGATGCTTCTATTATATGTAAGAGGAGAAAGCTTCTAAGAGATGAGAAAGATCTGCCTGTGTCCCTCACAAGTCACAACTTAGAACCATCACTTCAAGGACAGGTTTATATTTCCTTTGTGGCTCCTGGCTACACTTAATCCTCCCTAGGCATTGAAAGGAACCTGCATTGTAGTAGGAGTGATTCCTCGCCTATTATTTTTATTTATTATTATTATTATTTATTTATTTATTTATTTTTGAGACTGTGTCTTGCTGTGTCGCCCAGGCCGGAGTGCAGTGGCACAATCTTGGCTCACTGCAAGCTCTGCCTCCTGGGTTCATGCCATTCTCCTGCCTCAGCCTCCCAAGTAGCTGGGACTGCCACAACATCCAGCTAATGTTTTGTATTTTTTAGTAGAGACAGGATTTCACCATGTTAGCCAGGATGGTCTCAATCTCCTGACATTGTAATCCACCTGCTTCGACCTCCCAAAGTGCTTGGATTACAGGCGTGAGCCACTGTGCCTGGCCTATTATTTTTACATTTCACTGGCATGGCTGCATCATCTGGGTACATCCCTAACCTAGGTTCCTTTTTAGAATGTGCACCATACTGAATAGGCCAAACAAAGCAATCTGTTATTTCCATGTCCTCGTATGGAGATTTAACCAAAAGAGAAGATTGGGGAGTGCATGCACATGACAATCCCATCTTAGAAAGACCACGAATGGGGAATTCTATAACCAGAGTCCTCTTCTGGCTTGCTGGTATTCCTTTCCTCGTAAGGTCGGTAATTAACATGCATTTCTTCTGAGGACCCTTAGTTCAACCCCAGGAGGAGTGCTAGCTGCTGTTCCCCACATGGCACCTATTTTCAGCAGGAATTATCCAGAAAGAGTCATTGCCTGACACCCCCTAACAGCAGTAAGTGTTACCACTCCAGATGGGAGAATGGTATAGGAGTTAAGAAGAAATTATTTAGGCATATAGTGAGGGCATGGGAGTCCTCAATAAGGCTTTTCTTTTTAACGAAAAGCAGCCCCAAGTCATTTTCTAACAAAGAATGGCCTGTAAAGTCAAGCTGCAGACATAGACAAGCAAGCTGAGAGCTTGCACAGGTGAATGCTGGCAGGAACAAAGAACTAGACATGTTCTAGATGGTGACTCCATCTTCCCTTCTCTGACAGCCACATGGACTGTAAAAAGCAGAAAAGATGGCGCCAATCAACCAGAAAGCCCATTTTTATAAGAAAATGAGGGTGGGGTGAACAGCCTTCCCCCATGTGCTACCTAAACAGCATACTTGATCGAACCAATCTGTGAGCCCTAAGGAAATCAGACACCACCTCCTCAAACTGGACTATAAAATTTGGTGCATTTGCCACCAGCTGGTCCTTTTACTGCTCAGAGACCCCTTCCCATAGAGAAAACTGTTTCTTTTTCTTCTATTCTACCTATTAAACCTCTGCTCCTAAATTCCTTGCCTGTGTCCGTGTCTTATATTTTCCTGGCATGCAACAATGAACCCCAGGGCATATACTCCAGACAAGGTAGTCACTTCATATAGTGGTAGATACTTTTTTAACAAATAAAATGACATAGTCTAGCTCTACAAATATGCTTTCTGACATCATCTTCCTTCAAAGAATTTTTTTTTAGTGCTTGATTTTCCTTAAATGTATAACCTTATTTTGACACAATGTTTGCCTCAATACTTTATAAAAAGTTGAAAAGATTGTTACTGTAAAGGAGAGTCTCAATCCAGACCTCAGGAGAGGGTTCTTGGATATTGTGCAAGAAAGAATTCAGGGCGAGTCCATAGAGTAAAGTTAAAACAAGTTTATTAAAAAATTAAAGGAATAAAAGAATGGCTACTCCATAGAGAGAGTAGTTGAGAGCTTGAGCTGCTCAACTAAGGATACTTATTGTTACTACTTGATTGTATGCTAAACAAGGGGTGGATTATTCATGAATTTTCCAGGAAAGGAGTGGGCAATTCCCACAACAGATGGTTCCTCCCTTTTTTAGACCATATAGGGTAACTTCCTGAAGTTGCTATGGCATTTGTCAACTGTTGGGGCACTGGTAGTTGTGGCTTTTATCATGCAAATAAATTATAATTAGCATATAATGAGCAGTGAGGACGACCAGAGGTCTCTTTCTTTGCCATCTTCATTTTGGTGGGTTTTGGCTGACTCCTTTACTGCAGTCTGTTTTATGAGCAAGGTCTTTGTGACCTGTATCTTATGTCAACCTCCTATCTCATCCTGTAACTAAGAATACTGAACCTCCTGGGAATGCAGCTCAGTAGTTCTCAGCCTTATTTTATCCAGCTGCTACTCAAGGTGGAGTCTCTCTGGTTCAAATGCCTCTGACAATATGAATATAATTTTATTTAATCAATAATTTTATAATATTTAAAAATATCTATCATTTTAACTGAGATGTTTTATCAAAAATACTTTTAAGAAAAACAAAATTAGCAAATATTCAGAAAATAAAAAATTTGAATCTTACATGGAATGCTTATCTTATAAGAAATCATTCTGTAGACAACAATAACAAATTGAGAAGTTATCTTTGTATAGATATATGCTTAGAAAATTAAATGTTTGCCATTTAATATAATTCATGATATATTAATGCCTTTTAGTATGTTTACAATGTTTCTGGTAAAATTATATGCCTATATAATTATATGCCTATATAATTATATGCCTATATAATTATATGCCTATATAATTTTTCAACCATTTACTAAAAGTGATAAGTGAAAATAGCTTTTTGTCATTTGTGAAAAAGTCCAACCATTAGTTTTACAAACTTCATAATATCAAACAGATAAATCACGAACTTAAACAGTACAGATTTTTTTCTTATTTTAAACTTAGTCTAAGTGTGGCTCTTCCATTTATATCAAGTAGAATAATCCAGAAGAAATCTCTTTATAAGCTAAAATTATACACTGAGTAAAGGAAATGGCAATAATTTTCATTTAAAAATCTTTTGTTATCATAGTGAAAGCCAAATTAGTTGAAAATGACACAAGAGTAGTAAAATCTTGACTCCTTTTATACGTATAAAAGATTCATTTTCTTTAGTGTGAACTACTGTGGAAGACTAACAATGTAATTAACACCATATATTACTGTAAGGGATTCATATTAAAATACCCAGTATTCCAGTGCGTTTAGTTTTTAAAGGCCAATAGTCAAAGGGAGTTTATCAGAGCAAAACTAAGAACAGAGGGAGAGCTTCTGAATAGCTGAAAGATTAATGTTTTCAAAGACTTGTTTTATAATATTTTGTCTTGGATTTCACTACATTCAGAAATTTAACTATGAAATTGGCATCTTCCTAAAATAAATAATTTATAGAAATACTAACTAGCCCAGCAATAATTAAAACCTAACAATAGATACAATTTAATGGATTTTTAAATAGCAGTGTGTAGCACTGCCTTTTCTCCTGCACAGTTCCCTGTGACTTACATTCTGATTGACTTTCCACCAGTCTCCAATTCAAATTTCTGCTATATCACATGGGAATATGATTGTTACAATCTATATAATTGCTATGATTTTGAGTAGTGCTTTTTAAAATATTTTCTTACATATATAATTTACATTACAGGATAAATTTAAGCCCCATTTTTTATATGTCCCAGTAGAAAATCCTACACAGAAGTTGACTATTTGTGTAAGGTGGAATATGATGATGTTCTCTGATTACCCTGATAAGATAAAATGATGCTATATTTAGCTCAGGATAAACAGAAGAGGAAAACAAGCAGTCTTTGGAAGAAAACATAAATCAAAGTAGCTCTCGGGAATTTCAAGTCGAAGAGAACTTTCATTTGATTGCTAAGTCTAATACCTTTTGGGTCCCTTTTTTTCTCCACAGAAGACTGAAATTCCAAGGAAAAGTGGCATGATAGCTTTGGCTTTACTCAGGTGCTTCTACTGTGTTTGGGACGAAAAGTAAGGCAAAGGCAGATCCCCAAAGAAAGAAGTGATGGGCAGTCCTGAAGAACATATCTACCAAAATAAGGCAAAAATCAAGATATTTACCAATAACATTTTCATGTGATTATGCTTGATTTTATATCTACCATGAGCTAAAACTGATGTGAAACAATAATATTTTGAAAATGGCAGATGTTCTTTCTTGTCTGCTGGCTGAAAGACTGCACTGAGGATTCTGGAGATCTTTTCTTTTGCATTTCATTGTCTTGTATATGGAATTAACCTTAAGTAAATAAAAATAATAATAAATAATAATTAAGTTGTGGCATTTCTTGAAAACCCTAAGATTTTATTAAGAAGAAAAACTATGAAAATATTTTCGTGATGAAATTTGTAATTAAGTTAAAATATAACTCTTCCTATCTCTTACAGATTGATATATTACTAAGCCATTATAAGTAAGGCTGGAGCTATCAGCTTGTTTTTTAGCAGTGTTTTTTGAGGCTTCAGGCATTGAGGTCTCTTCCCCTAGGCATATTTGCAATCAAATTGCCTGGCATAGTTAGGCAGTGTTATAGTTGCTATCTAAAGTTAATGAAAATATAACTCGCGGAAATCCAGCTATTTGGTTTCATATGTTGTCTTGTTTTTCTAATCAGCCTCCACTTAACTGAGGCAGACAATGCTATACTTAATTTTCTTTTCAACTCAGAAGCTATACAAATTATTATAAAATAAATAATTATCCAGGTCTGCTAATTATGATGAATTATAGACACACCTGTATCACTATGCATTTGTTCACATTTTAAGCATGCTTATTATGATGATTACAAGTAGTAATACATGCTCAGTGCAAAGTTTTAAAAAATACTCTAAAGGCATACAAAAGGATAAGGAAAATTATCCATAAACCCATCACATTTAGATATAATTAACGTGGAAATGAAACAGGGATTAGAGAAAAGATGTTTTTGAATCACAATTTAAGTGGCTGCTCTCCTAACTACACATATATACACATGTATAAAGTATATCCCTTTATATTTTATTGCTTTATGTTTAATTGAAATAATTTCCATCTCCCTGGATTTTCTCAGTTTTAGAGGTTTTGGAGTCATATATAAATCTTTCATTTTCTGGGTGACTTTGAAAAGTTGATAAGTCTCATGGAGTCTTCAGTTTCTTCATCTATAAAATGAGCATAGTAATACCTGCATCTCAGTGTTCTAATAAGGATTACAACTAATATTTTTTAAACAGTGTTAACACAATAACTTGCATAGAGCAAGTATTTGGTAAGGAATGTTTGATAATGTTTTTTAATTACACATATAATATTCTATCAAATGTGTCCACTAAGTTTATTCTTTAAATTATATATTTGAACATTTATGTTATTTTTAAAGACATTGATAAATAACATACCTCTTTTATATAAATAGTGTGTTGATAATATTTGTTGCTCTTAGAAAAATCTATGTATTAGTACATTATTTACTTTTAAAATAATTTAGCCTAATGTTCTATTACATTAGCAAAGATAATGGAAAATTAAGCTTTAACTAAATAGGAAATGATTTCACACTGCATGTAATTCTAAAATTTGAGAAAAAATAATACAACAATGTCTCTTGTTCCTAAATATACATCTTTTTTTTCATGAAATACAGCTTTACTTCATTTCATAACATAATTAATGTTTTATTTTGGAGAGGACAGCTAAAAAAGCATAATTAAAATTGCAATTTTTTTATAATGTAATGAAAGAACATAGTTAATGAAGTATATTTAATGTAAATTAACTGTGATATAATAGAAATAATATTGGGACCTTCTTAAATTTTCTGGATTGTTGATTCTATGATGGTTATCCACAATAGTAGATACACCTTACATGAACCACAACATTTTGGTTCTTTTAACCCAGGAATAATACCATACTGAAAGCAAGTTATCCCACTTCCAAGACCCCTTTTACACTTACAAATGAGTTTCAAGTGCCCTAGAGCTTATCTTACCTGATCCACACACATGTAGTTCTTCTTCGACCTGGAAAGGACCCATGCTTCTTTCATACCATGAGAAGACACTTCTATCACATAAGAACAGGTGATCCAAAAGCAGTATGAACTTATGATGGCCCGAGTTGGTGAAAATTATTTTTGAAGCTTGCCTGCAGTTCATGGTACAGATTTAGAAGATCATTGGTGGGAAATATCATCCAAACCGCTAAACAGAGTTACTTATACTGAAAGTTCTTTGAGATTGCCACAATAATGCATTTGTCCAAAGGGACACATTTAAATAAAAATTTGATAATATTTAAAAATTTATAGATTATTTGAGAAGAATGGATATGTTAGAAGCAAAGACAGGAATTCCTCCTTTGTCATTACCTCACTGTTTGATGTTGTGCTTACAGGTGTACCTCTCTTTAGCTTCCATCTTTAATTTATACAATGGGAGTAATATTATCAATATACTCTGCTGTTTTCCAGGATTTTATAAGATAATATTTGGAAATGCTTTGGGTACATGCTAGAGAGTATGCACTAAAAAATAATTTTATTGACTTTATAAGCAAATATATTGGAGTCAGATTGTGCAGATTAATTGTGTTTCCTTAGAAGGTATATTTGACATCACCTAGTCTCTAGTTATGGGCAATTTCAACTAGCTACTGAAATCGTATTGAAGGTGACTCAATTGTTAAAAATCATTATAAATCCCATCTTTGAACAATTTCTATTTTTGAGAAAAACTAAGGGATTCACTTGGATAATATAACTGTTGTGTAATGAGTGATATACAAATTTATTTTCCACTTTGTAATTTTTATAATTATAAGCCTTATCTTTTTTCTTCTATATATATGTACTTTTTTCTCCGGCTTCTCTCCAGATATATATATATATATATTTAAATTTAGTTGTTCAATGCTTTTTAAATAATGTGTGTAGATATGTGTGCTGGTATGTATTCTACTGATATTTATTCAGGTTGATGTTCTCTGGCCTTTGTAGTTTTGTAGTTGAAATTTTGTATTTGTTTAAAAAACAAGTTTCAACCATTATCTCTTCTAGTGTTTTTTTTTTGTTTTGTTTTGTTTTTTGTTTTTTTCCCTGCATGTTGTCTTTTCTCTTTCCAGCCTTTTCTTTGTTTTTTTCCTGGGATTCCAAAAACAAATTTGTTAGATAATTAGTATTTATTCCACACCTCTTTGGTAGTACATAATCTTTTTGTAGGTATACTTGCTTTTTAAAGCATTTCTCTTCATTTTTCAGTTTTGGTAATTTCTATTGGCCTATCTTCAAATTTACTAATTCTTTTATTAGCTGTTGTCAGGTTTACTGAAAAACATATCAAAGTTGTTTTTTTTTCTGTTAATGCGTTTTTTCTTATTAAAATTTCAATTTCACTCTTTCTTAAATGCTCCATCTCTGTGGTAAAATTCATCGTCTGTTCATGTAGAACCTTTAATATATTAGTCATAGTTATTTTAAATTTCTTCTCTAGCATTTCCAACATGTAGGTTATATGTAGCTTTGGTTCTCTTGATTGTTTTGTCTCTTGATAATGTTTTCATGTTTTGTGTGTGTGTACATTTATTTTTATTTGTTTCTTAATTTTTGGTTGTGTGGCATAAATCATGTGTTGGGCACTTTGAGACAGAAGTAAGCAATGTTTTGAGCAAAAATTGTTAAAAATCTTTTTTGACTAAGTCTTTGGCATTTGAGGTTTAATCAATTTAGAGTTAAATGGAATATCAGTTTTATTGCAGCCATTACTACTCTCAGGGTCTCTACAGATCAAAATTTCTCTAGCATTGCTTTGTGCTTAGGGTGAAGAATGGTTTGCAAATGAGTTTTTCTCAGTGTCTGCTTCTCCATCACCTTTATGCTTTCCTTGACAACTTTTCCTTAGAAATGTCTCTCTTCATACTCTTGTTCCTAACCCAGTGTAATATTCTTGGTCTTTATTAAGTGCTTGGTGAAGGACAATATGAGGGGGCTATTTGTTGTTGTCCTGTATAGACTCAGTCTTAAACAACACTTGGGTATCTGGTGTGGGGCTTTCTCAGTGATCCTGTCCCTTCTCCAGCAATGGAAGATCCCTACTGGTCTGACCCAGAATGGTTTCATGCTCCTCCTTGAGTGTTAGAAGGTTGCCTTCCTTTTCTCTCCTTTGGTGTGTATTTTTGCTCTGTGTATGGTAAAGCTTGCTGCCCTTCCACAACCCCTTAATTATTTAATTCCATAGAGCAAAATCATCCAGATAGGGCTTTATGCCTTTTCTGGAGCAGCTGCTGCACTCCTCCTACAGGCCCATACATACTTCATTTGCACTGGGGACTGTTGTGGGGTGGGGCGGGGGCGGGGATAGCATTAGGAGATATACCTAATGCTAAATGATGAGTTAATGGGTGCAGCACACCAACATGACACATGTATACATATGTAACAAACCTGCACGTTGTGCACATGAACCCTAAAACTTAAAGTATAATAATAAAAAAATGAAAACTTTCTCTTATTTTTTATCCTACCCTCAGTCTTTCTTATAAGCTCCCTATAAAGGTTTATGGAAAAGAGCTTACCAGTAGATGCAAACTGCTGTTTTCAGGGCTTCCATATTCTCATACTAGCATACAATTGGTCCCTAGAAATTTGTTTCAAAATTGTAGCTGAATTTCACTTATCTGCTTACATGGCAGTCCTATATTCCTTTTGTGCTTTTTTATTTTTTTTCTCCTCTTTCATTGGAGGCATATGTCTTTTCTTAGATTCCAAGCTGATTGATTGCTCTGTGACCTCACTTCACTGATTTTTTTTAAAGCTTTAATTTTACAGACTTTTCTCTTACTGTTATGGTGAGAGTGATGGTTATTCCAGCTTTTTTCTTCCTAAATAGAAATAGAATGCCATTTGTGTGTATGTAATAACTTTTTCTGTATTAACTATTGTTCATTTTATGTAAATGAAAGATACATTACAATAAAAAGATGTATAGCTAACATTAGTAGGCTTTCTTTTCATTACTTAACATTGAAAAAATAAGTTGTGTTCTTTAGCAAGTGCAAAAATAAATTTTAAATAATTACAACCTTAATTAAAACCAAGGATGACATAAAATGAGTAAATCTGCTAGCGGTGTTAGTAAAATAAAGTCATAGGTTATTGTTCTCTAACTCCCAGGCATTCTTTATTTTATTAAAGAAAATAAAACAGCACATATTGTTTAATTAGTTGATGTTAATAAAACAGTGTGTTTGTTCATAATCTAAGTTTAGCCACCATATCACATACATAAAATAAACAGATACTGTGATTTTCTTTGTTAATTTTTGCTATTATTACTAGTGTTAGAATTATTAATATTATGTGGGTCTTCAGGGTAATTGTATTAGCTATATATTTCTGCATAGCAAGTGCAAAAGGCTGAGTTGTTTAAAACAATTCCCATTACCAAACCATTCTGTGTATTACGAGTCTGGATATAAATGATCTCGGTTCTCTGCCTAGAGACTCCCAAAGATGCAATCGAGGTGCAAGTCAGGCTACAATCTCATCTGAGTCTCAGAATCCCTTTGCAAGCTCTTTGATTGTTGACAGAATCTAGTTTCTTGCGGCTTTAGGACTGTGATCCCCACTTCCTGGCTATCAGCCAAGGGCTGCTATCAGCTACTGTGGGCTTCTCCCATTAACTGGCACGTAGCCCTCTGTACAACATGGCAGTTTTCCACATCAAGGCCAGTAGTAAACCTTCTCTGCTTTCAGTTCTTTCTAATCTTTTAAGGACTCACCTGATTAGATCAGGCTCCCCAGGATGAATTCTCTGTGATTAACTCAAAACCAAAGAATTAAATGAATCTTTAAATGACTTTAAATGAATCTGAAATAAACACTTTTGCCATACAACAGAGCACAATCACAGGATTGATATTCCACCCTATTCACAAATCATATTTACCCAACAAGGAAAGGAGTGTATGCAGTGTTCACACAGCACAGGGCAGGAATCTTGGGAGTCATCTTAAATGCTTCCTACCGCAGTAATATTATTTTTCTATGGGAAAACAATAATAAAAATTTAAAACATTCTTTAAAATATATTACATTTATAATATAAGGATTTTGTTAACATAATATTTGTGATTGTTTAAATATTTCTATCTTTCTATGAAAGGAGATACTGCAATGTGAACTGAGGCTGCATATGTCACTTCTGAGCAGAATCTCTAAGAACCAGAATGTAGTTTTCCATGGGACTTTCCTTTCTCCCTCCAGATAAGCAATGTTTTACAGAGTCAGCTTCATTAGTCTCTGTGTCTCTGCTGGTTATGACATGGAATGGAGTTGCAGGTGGCCCTCAAGGGAGCTATCTATAGTAAGAGGAGGAAATAATTATTTAGTATTTTTAAACTGTTGAGTTACTTATTACTATAGCATATTTTGGCGAACTGAACAATATTTTGTCTTAAAAATTAGAAAAACTATTTTTTTCTAGTATCATGAAAGTATTATTTAAAATATTCTCTTTAAATCATAAACATAATAGAAAACCTGGAAAATAAAAGCAAAAAATGAATAAAAATACAAGTTATCCAGTTTCTTTGTAATGGCATTTTCTCTATGCCCAACATGCACATTTAAATAATTTGAAATATGTTGCATGCAGAGGAATATTGCATTGCCTTTTATAATTTTATGTCCTCGCCATATTTTCGGGTAATAACAGTGCTCCAAAATATTGTTTATTTCATGCCATAGGAATATCATAATTTCATTCATCAATCTTCAGTGATTGGACATATATGTTTTCCTGAAAAAATGATACCAGAAACATAACTTTACTCAAAGTATATTATATTCTATGACTTTTAGTTATGCTTTCATTGGTTCTTGCAAAGATGATTACACTAATTATCAAATACAAAGACAATATCTACTTTAGTTGACAATTATCAGGCTATGAATCTTAGGTAGCATGAATCAATTGGTAACTTTTATTTCAAACCTGTCATCTGTCAGGCTGAGGTGGCAGTATATTAATTTTATTGGATTTTTAATGTACTTCCTCATTATTAAATGTTTCAGTGAACTGAATTTTTAGGCTTCCTTATCACTTTATTTGCAGTTTATATAGTTTTGTTTACATTGTTTCATATATATTCTCTGGTAATATGATTATCCTATATCTTAGTATATAAATTTTATTAATAAACCATTTGTATGTGTTATGCATTTGAGAATATTTGTTCAAGAATGAATAGAGAAGTGGACTCCCTTCTGAGTGTTTGATTATGTGATAATAACTTCCTGTGCCTTTGAATACAAATAACAATGTTTCTTGGTATTTTTTTGGTGTATTGCTTTGTATAATACTTTTAAAACACAGTAGATGATACTCCATCATCTTCTGATTTTGGTTATGGTATTATGAACTTAAAATTTTTCTTTCTTCTGTAAGGAACAAGTTTATATTTTCTCTCTGGTTATATATAATATTCTCTCCTTTATTCCCATATTATAATACAAAGCAAAAAACCCACAAATTTTTGATTATACTTAATAGACATTATGTTACATACCCACATACTCATTCTATCTTTCTCTCATTTCGTAACATCCATGCCATTTGTAGGGTTATCCTAGTTACAAAAGTAAGTCTGAATCAATCCAAGTTGACCATGAAAACCTTTGGGCTAAATTATTCATTGCATGACTATCACCTGGTCATATAAATTGACTCAATATTTGACATGAGATATTTTTATGTTTTTCTGCTACTCTCAAGTCTTATTTAAGATGAAGACTTAATTCATTCAATTTAAATATCAGCTTTTATTTCTAGTTTTGGTGATATAAAAAAAAATCCTGAAAGTTCCAAATTACCAAATATCGAGATATGTTTCAATGACTATCTGAAACTTCAAGAAATTAGAGTTACTTTCTAGGAACAAAAATGTAGAAGAGTTGTGCATGAATTTATGATGCCATTACCCTGGAGCAGTATTCTGGCTCTTATCTTAAAATATCCGCTTCGAATTTATAACTATAAACCTAGAAATTGGGATTTACATTTATATGATCCACATGGAACATTCTTGGCACTCTGCAACCAAAAATCTAAGATAAAATGTGGCCCCAGGCCAGTGATGTGTCAGGCATGCAGGCAGTAGTAAAAGCAAATGGGCCCTGGAGGAGACAGGTTCCTCACAGGTAGGATTAGTTCATAATCCCAAATTATAAAACATGCAATAAACCAAGTCTTCAGTAAGAAAGAATTGGAAGACATAGCATATAGCCGTACTAGATCATCCGAACTTCACGTATCAATATTGAATAGAGATTCAAGAATAAATATGTTTAACTCCTTAAACACATTGCCGCTTATACAGAGCATGTGTGTATCTGACAAACTGTCTATAGGGCTACCAGTCTGTGATCTTTGCTTTAACAAATGTTTCATTGTGTGGAAATAGTGTCTAATAAGACCTCTTTATATAGCTGTTAATTAGCTTCTGCATATCTAAATTCTCAGATCTTATCTTTCCTGCCTTGGAATTACATATCTACCAGGTAAAATATAATCATATTTAAATTACTTAAATCTAAGTATCGGTGAGGATATATTATATAATTTTTATCAGAACCCAAAATCAAATTGGCTCCCTTAGGGAGCCATAAATCTCATAAATCTCAGTTTGCCCGGGAGAGTTCAGTTTAAGCCTTGTACCTCAACAGAATTAATGGTATCGTCTTCTTTTTTTTTTCTTTCTTTCTTTCTTTCTTTTTTTTTTTTTCTATGAGACAGACTCTCACTCTGTCGCCCAGGCTGGAGCACAATGGTGCAATCTCGGCTCACTGCAACCTCCACCTCCTGGGTTCAACTGATTCTCCTGCCTCAGCCTCCCGAGTAGCTGGGATTGCAGGCACCGCCACCACGCCTGGCTAATTTTTTTGAAGTTTTAGTAGAGACAGGGTTTCACCAACTTGGCCAGCCTCGTCTTGAACTCGTGAGCTCGTGATCCACCCGCCTCAGCCTCCCAAAGTGCTGGGATTACAGGCATAAGCCACCACACCCGGCCTCATCTTCTTCATTCTCAGAACTTTTCCAGTTTGAATAATAAATCATAAGGCCATCATTCTCGAATTATAATGGAAGTACAGTTGACCCTTGAATAAAGCAGGAGTTAGAGGCCCAGATCCATGCACATTCGAAACTTCATGTATAAAACTTGATTCCACCAAAACCAAATTACCGAGAGCCTACTATTGACCAGCAGTCTTAACAATGACGTAAATAATTAATAATTTTTTAAAATATTATATGTATTTTATACCATATTCTTACAATAAAATAAGCTAGAAAAAAGAAAATGTTATTAAGGAAATCATAAGGAAGAGAAAATATATTTACTGTTCATTAAGTGTAACTGGATCATAATAAAGGTCTTCATCCTTGTCTTCATGTTGAGCAGGCTGAAGAGGAAGATGAAAAGAGAAGTTGGTCTTCCTGTCTCAAGGTGGCAGAGGCAGATGAAAATCCACATATAAATGCACCCCTGCATTTAAAAACCATGCTGTTTAATGGTCCACTGTGTATTCTTCCATGCAGTTGAAGAAATCTACAAGTCAGGTGAGTTTCAGGAAGTGATATTCTGAAACCTTCTCCTATCAACTGATGAGAGCCATTAGTTAGCATTTGTTTTCAATTCCATATTCAGGGACATAAAATTGGTATCTTGATATTTGCAACAATGAGAATATTTACTTTGAAAAATGGCTAAAGCTACAATGCAGACTTTTGTGTTTTTTTTTTTTTTTTGGTTCCACTCAGACCAGTATACCACTGACTTTAAGAATAATTTTGTTTGTTCTACTTCGTTTTGTTTTGTTTTTCAGCTCCTCTGCTTCTCAGACTGTTTTGCCTCATAGAAAAAAAAAAAGGCTCTTGCAGGCATCTGGTTTTCTCCCCATATTCTCAGGAGCAGGTTGAGGGGATTCCTGCTGCAGGACTGTCTGATAGGAGAAATGCTTTCCATCCTCCCATCCACCACACCACTATTCACATCTTAGCCTCTGTGACCTTCCTCATTTGACATCTGCCTCATGCAGCCATTTTACTGAATCCTTTCTCTGCCCTGTTGCCCCTTTTCTTTGGCTTGAAATTTCTTGTGAGTTTTCTCTCAGCTCCTCAAATAGGTACAGAAAGAAAATCATCAAATAACAATTGCCTGAGCAGATATCCAAGTAAGGCTTGACATCACGGTCTCTTTTTTTGATGAAGACTTGATTTCTGCAGTTGATTCTCTGAGAGCCCCTTTCACTTGTTATCTGCAACAAGGTCTGTGGGTCAAAACTCTCAGCACATTTTCTCCCTAACAATTGTAAGCTATCACTCACAACTCTAACAATTGTCTTTGTATTTTTTTAAATACACCATGATTGTTCATCTTTATGTAAGATAATAAGACCAGTTCTGCCACCTTTTGATCATTCCTGGAGGTTGTATCTGGTGGTTCTATCTAGAATGTAAAGGTGCTTAACTTCTAAAACTTTTAGCTGTGAACTTTAACTAAAAGTTTTAGTTAAACCAAAAATGTAATATTTAACATTTTGATACACACACACTCGTGTACATTTTTGTCACCTTCACAAACTTAATTACCAATAGGTAGTGGTCTCTACCAAGTATTTTCTGTTTAATTTACATTCTCTGACTGTTTATTCTTGTCTCTCCTCTGGAGTTTCCTCTATGTAGTTTTATGTTCATACTTGCAGACTTTGACAACACAAAAGCGCATCTCAAGTAGTGTACACTAATTTTTAAGAAGTCCTTGACCCTTTAAAGAAGGTAAACTTGTGATTTTTTCATCAGGTCTTAATTATTCCCCTAAAACACGTTTATATTACCATTTCTACTCCAATTGCTCCTATTTCTTTTTTGGGTAACTGATTTATTTAGCAGTCTAAACTTGGAAGTATATAAACTTGAAACGGTTTTATATTTCTCCAATGACTGATTTCTAGCATGCTCTTCAGAATGTTAATTTCTGACCCCTGAAGACATTTTGGGCAGAATCCATATTTGATTATGTTCAGTGATAAAATAACCACTTTAAAATGCCAAATTCATGTCCTATCTAAAATTAATCCTTCCCTTCTTCTCCTAAGAGCTGGCAACACTTGTAATTTGAGGGACTTGGAGTAATAGGGGGTGTTGTCTCTGTCATTTCAATCCTCCTGCCAGTGCAATTTCTTTGAGCCTAAGGTGGATGTTTGTGTGGGCTGCTTCAGGAATATCTATATTTACTCCTTTCTCACGGGCTTAGTAAGAACAAATTCTATATTACTTCCCTGTTTTTGCTTTTAGTTACATCCTTTATTATTATTCTTGCATGTCTAACTAACACTGATTATAAATCAGTGTCTCCTGTACAGCAAGTATTCAAATTCTACCTGTCTTATATGATACCACAGAGTCATATAACTGCACAGTTCCTTGGCAAATAAAATGCAGGTACAATTCCACCACTTATTCTCCTCTCACCCCTCACACTTTTGCTGCTGTGTTTGTCCCTCAGCAAGCAGGCCATACCCTTGAATTGCATAACAAGCAAGACAATTCAGTAAGGCTTTCTTCTTCAGTATCTCTAGATCCAAGAAAAAATGACACATCTTTCTGTGACAAAGGATGAGAGAAAGCAGGACATCCTGGTGCTGATTAATGTCTTTATTTTGCTATTTTTTGTCAGTTGTTTTTCCAACCTTTTCAGATAGATAATGGAGCAGCTAATCAATGCCTGTGGGTAAGCTGACTTTAAGCTGGGAAACTAAATGGCAGACTTCCATTCTTGAAGGCGCTTTTAATCTCTTCAAATTAGTCTTTTGGAGAATAGCCAGCCTCTTCTGAATTGAAAGTGTATCTGAAAAATAAGCTCCCTTTATGGAAACCACAACCTTTCCAACTAGGACAGTGGCCCAATTCCACAGATCACCAACCCCATCCCACCTCCTGCCTCTTCTCCAGTGTCCCTGTATGTAGATACCGGTGGTGGCAGAGTGGACAAGGGAAGACTTTGATACAGCCCTGGAAAAGCCCTGTATACCTGATTGTCAGTGCCTCTCTTGAAGCTTTGTCATATATATGAAGTAAGTGATGAGTTTTTATCTTAAGCTTTGGGTACTCATTGCCAATTTTAGAAAAATAAATAAAAGTTTTATTCAATAATATGTTACATTTGTGAACACTCACAAATTTAGTTTATATTTCTATCTTCCACACTCAAAAGTTTTTATTTTTCATCCTTTCCTTTTCTTTACCTTTTATCCAGATTTTTGAATAGTATAAAAGTTTTTCTTTTTACAAAACAAGATCAAGATTCCTGATCCACTATTTTACAGTGTGAATTCTGTTCTGTACAGTTTTAGTACAGTATTAATTATTCTGCAACTATTTACTATTTCTTGACCCAGATTATTTTATATAATTATGTTCTCCATTATTTCAACTTATAATCTTCTCATCTTTCTATTTGTAAAAATAATTTTCAATAGAAACAATGGGAGACATATCATGTGTTTTGAATAGGTAATATATTTAAAATTTGGGTTGATACAAAAGAATATATAGTGAAAAGTCTCCCTCTCTTGCTCATTAGTCACTGAATTCCTCTTTCTCGAGGTAACCCAGCTAAATTTTAGATAGAGAAGAAAAAATATGAAAATATCTTCACAAAACCGTAGCATGTCATACAATCTGCTCTTCACTGTTTCACTTAATAATATATCTTAGAGAGTCTTCCTTCTCAATACACAAAAATAGTCAATACAGATAGTTTAAGCTGTATGATATCTCATTATGCGCTATAATTGAATAAGCTCCATATTTATAGACAGCAAAGAGTATGTCAATGCATTATCTTTTTAGAGTCTACTAAGTCATCCTCAATTAGGATTACAAATTTACCATTTGCATTTCTTATGTTTAATGACACTGGCAATTTGGCAATATGATAGCTCAAAAAAAGTATTTCAGTTCATAGTAACTTTAGTGATACATGGTACATACTCTATATACCCTAACAAACAGAAACATTACTTTTAAGAATAATTACTAAAATAAACACAAAATTTATATGATATGGGAACAAATCAAGCCTAAGAGATATAATACTTCTATCATGAATACATCTATATTTCCCCTTTATTGGAGTAATTAAAAATTGAATAAAGGCCAGGTGTGGTGGCTTATGCCTGTAATCCCAGCATTTTGGAAGGTCAAGGTAGGCAGATCACTTGAGGTCAGGAGTTGCAGACCAGCCTGGCCAATATGGTGAAACCCCATCTCTACTAAAAATAACAAAAATTAGCCTGGTATGGTGGCACGCACCTGTAGTCCCAGCTTCTCAGGAGGCCAAGGCAGGAGAATCGCGTTAACCCAGGCGGCGGAGGTTGCAGTGAGCCAAGATTGTGCCACTGCACTCCAGCCTGGACGATAGAGCGAGATTCAGTTTCAAAAAAAAAAAAATGAATAAATAAAAAGATATATCACAATCATAAATAGGAAAACTAATATTTTTTATAACGGGTTTTCTTAAATGGATCTGTAGATCAATATAATTCCAATTAAAACACTTTGAGAATGAACAAGATTATCCTGATTTATTAAGAAAGAGCAAAGGTTAAGATTTAACAAAGGGATGAGGTGATGAAAACAGTGTATTGGTAGCTACAGGGCTTAATGTGATATGGCTTGGCTTGCATTCCAAGTATACATATATTAAATATGTTATTGTTCATTAACTCTTTCAAGTATAAAAGGTGGTATTTTTAATTCTCTCTTTGTTTTTCAGTACTGCTTGAATGTGCTTTTATAATCTACAGCTAAAGAGAAAGTTCTAATTTCTAGACTAATTTTCAATACCTGGAAAAAATGCATCCAGTAAGCCTTTTTAGATCTCATGTCCCTATTTTGTTTTCTAAAGCAAATGCATTAATATCTGACCCTCTGAATTTGTTGAGCACGTGTAAGTCCTCAACTCCAGGATGTATTAAGCATTTCTCAAAGTTTTAGTCATACAAATTTTCTCTCCAAATTTTAATTCTCCATTATATTTTAAATTATTCCTCCAATTTTAATTCTCCATTATATTTTAAATTATTTCTTTCTGTGAATTATATATAGACATAAAAATAGTAATATTATTATTATAATGGAGAGAGGGTGATATAAAATTTACAATAATGTAGTCTCACCCAAAATAATGTTCATACAGCACCAATATGACATTTCTGGTTGCTACAGATGTGAGTCTCTGAGCCATGTAGCTAACAGTGAAAGAGTTAACATCTCATTGTATAACCTCTGGGAAAAAGTAATCAAAACATAAGCAAATAACGTACTAAAACTTTTAGTACATTTTATTGTCGCGTATGACCTAAAATATTATTCTTAGGTCCTGGAAAGATGTGAATTGTGACTTTTAATTTTAAGAACTTTAATGGATTGATATGTTTTGCTTGTCTTTAATAATATGTCAGGGGAAAGTTGTGAGAAACAACATCAGAGACAATTAAAGGATGTTCTAAACCACAGTATTCATGAAAATTCTAAGGTTATATTTTTATATTTATACATTTTACTTTGTAAATCATATCTACATTGAAATGTTTGAGATTAAACAAATCTCAAATACACTTTTTAAGATTATAGATTTATTTCACATATTTCATATCTATTATTATATTGTAATAGATCATTTCTATAATTCTTCATGTTCAATCCTCTTTTCGTAAAGTATTATGTTTTTCCTATATACTATCCATGGAGAATTCCTATTAAACACACGCACATATTATATATATTTTACATGTATATTTCGAAGCAGGAATGGAAGTTTATTAAAAAGCTTTAGAACAACAAGGAAAGGAAGGAAAGAAAAGAAGGGAAGTGCAACTTGAAAGAGGGCCAGGCAGGAGACCTGAGAAACCAAGTGCAGAGCCTGACCGCTTGACTTGGGCTTTTTATACATTGGCGTACTTCTGGGATTTTACTGGGAAGCTACTGATCAGTTTCAGGTGTTTTCTATGTAGTAGGAGATTGCGTTCCCTGGTACCAGCTGTGATCAATTATTTCTTTAGCTAAATGGTTAACCACAACCACCTGACGCCCAACACTCCTAGTATGTGTGTGGAGGAAGCCCTCTCCTGCGCTGCTCATACCTGACTAGCTACCTACTGCAACATTTCCCTCCTAAAGAGTCCAAGACCCCAAATATTTGGGGGAAAATGGCTGAAGGTTGGTCTTCTGTAAATGCTTCCTGCTGACAGAGGGGTGGTGGTGGTTCTGTGGGTCTTGCCCTCTTGCTAGGTGTTAGGACTGAGTTGGCTCCATGAATTGGTGAAAGTCTATCTATCTATCTATCTATCTATCTATCTATCTATCTATCTATCATCTATCTGTCTATCATCATCATCTATTGTGTGTGTGTGTGTGTGTGTGTGTGTGTGTGTGTGTGTGTTTGTGATCCAGGGATGCAGGGGTTTTACTATTTTATATTCTTATTAGTCCAACTAGGATAAAACTACCAGCATTTCTCTTTACACAATTTATTTATTTATTTACAGTCATGTGCTTCCTGTTTCTCAACAAATCCTTGATTCTTATTTGATGCTAAAGCTTATAATTCAATGTGAAGTAAATACAGTGAGTTCTTATGTAAAGTAACCACAGCCTAAACCACATTCCTTCTTACAGGGAAGGAATGATAGATTTTGTATTTTAAAAGGCAAAACTTGAAGGGAGAACATTTGTCTGAATTTTTGTAATTGTTAAGTCCAATGATTAAATACACCTTACTCCTCACGTTACCTTTGAAGAAACACAGAAAGCATAATTAACAGAAGGATGATGTGTTTGTATCTTTGTTCATCAGTTTGTTATTTTAGAAGTTAAGATTAAACAAAGTATATTTTATCTACCTAACTTTTGGAAGTATAACTCTGATTAAAATTGTAAATACTTTAATTTCATTAGAGGAAAAAAAATCCAAAGAAAGAATATATGGCTACTTTATACTGTAGACCAGCTGGTGCAACTTTAATGAAATTCTCAAAATACATGATAAATTCAAACAATATCTTAAGCTTAGTAGCCATAAATATTCTTGTCATTTTGATGTAAGAAAGTTAGATGCAGAATAACATAAAATTAATGTATTAGTCCTTTAAAAATTCACTTATTAGTAATTTTAATTGACATTTATTTCTGAATAATTTCTGGCCAGAATGAACACATCAGAAAGGAAAGAAGAAATAAATGAGGTGGGTATAAGAAACCAAAAATGCCATTAATCACTTAGTTGTAAAGTATTTCTCCTTGACAACTTGTTATTTTAAATTTACTTACGAGAAGTTTAAATAGAAGAAATTATTTTTGGTGCAGTCAGGCATATTTTACAATACTCAGTTTATAATATGTATTTAGCAATACAATCTTTTTTTTACATAATTAGGGATCAAGCTATTGCATCTATGTTGCTTTCATAATGATGGCATAACTCCTCAAGTGTATTAAGGACTTCTATATCATATTTAAAGAACTGAATAATCTAGGCTCTATGAGCAATGTCAAGATTGCTTTACAATGTAATTGATTAATACTGATCATATAATTTTGTTTTTAAGCACCTGCCAGTTTTTACTTTTTTTCTTTTTTGTATATAATAACATTATTCTTTTACGGTCTTCTATATCACTCCTATGCCTCAAATAATTATTTTTTCTTCAACTTTTAAGTTCAGGGGTACATGTGCAGGATGTGCAAGTTTCTTACATAAATAAACATGTGCCATGGTGGTTTGCTGCATAGATCATCCCATCACCTAGGTATTAAGCCCAGCATGCATTAGCTATTCTTCCGGATACTTTCCCTTCCCTCAACCCCCACCAAAAGGACCATTTGTGCTATTCCCTGCCATATGTTTATGTGTTCTCATTGTTCAGCTCCCACTTATAAGTGAGAATATGTGGTATTTGGTTTTTTGTTTCTGCATTACTTTGCTGAGGATACTAACTTCCAGCTCCATCTATGTCCCTGCAAAGTACATGATCTCATTCCTTTTTATGGCTGCATAGTATTCCATGGTATATATGTACCACATTTTCTTTATCCAGCCTATTATTGACAGGCATTTAGGTTGATTCCATGTCTTTGCTATTGTGACTAGTGCTGCAATGAACATACATCTACATGTATCTTATAATAGAATGATTTATATTCTTTTGTGTATATACCCAGTAATAGGAATGCTGGGTCAAATATATTTTTGCCTGTAGGTATTTGAGGAATCACCACACTGTCATCCAAAATGATTGAACTAATTTATACTCCCACCAACAGGGTAAAACCATTCTTTTTTCTCTACAACCTTGCCAGCATCTGTTGTTTTTTGACTTTTTAATAATAGCCATTCTGACTGGTGTGAGATGGTATCTCATTGAGGGTTTGATTTGTATTTCTCTAATGATCAGTGATGTTGGAGCTTTTTTTTTCCATGTTTGTTGGTCGCTTGTATAACTTCTTTTGAGAAGTCTGTTCATGTCCTTTGCCCACTTTTTAATGGGGTTGTTTGCTTTTTTCTTGTAAATTTTTTCCTTGTAGACTTTGGATATTAGACCTTTGTCAGATAGATAGATTGCAAATTTTTCTCCCATTCTGTAGGTTGTCTGTTATCCCTAATGATAGTTTCTTTTGCTGTGCACAAGCTCTTTAGTTTAATTAGCTCTCATTTGTCAATTTTCGCTTTTATTATAATTTCTTTTGATGTTTTCATCATGAAATCTTTTCCCATGCCTAATGTCATGAATGCTATTGCCTAGATTTTCCTCTAGGATTTTTTATATGTTTAAGTCTTACATTTAAGTCTACAATTCATCTTGAGTTAATTTTTGTATATGATGTAACAAAAGGGGTCCAGTAGCAGTTTTCTGCCTATGGCTAGCCAGTTCTCCCAGCACCACTTATTAAATATGGAACTCTTTCCTCAATGATTTTTTTTTTGGTTGAAGACTAGATGGTTATAAGTGTGAAGTCTTATTTCTGAGTTCTCTATTCTGTTCCATTGGTTTATGTGTCTGTTCTTCTACCAGTATCATGTTGTTTTGGTTACTGAAGCCTTGTTGTATAGTTTGGAGTCAAGTAGCATGATGCTTCCAGCTTTTTCTTTTTACTTAAGAGTGTCTTGTTTATTTGGGTTCTTTTTTGTTTCATATGAATTTTAACATAGTCTTTTCTAATTCTGAGAAGAATGTCATTGTTACTTTAATGATAATAGCATTAAATGTATAAATTACTTTGGTCAGTATGGCCATTTTCATGATATTGATTCTTTTATCCATGAGCATGTAATGTTTTCCATTTGTTTCTGCCCTCTCTGATTTCTTTGAGCAGTGGTTTGTAGTTCTCCTAGAAGAGGTCCTTCATTTCCCTTGTGAGATGTATTCCTAGGTATTTTTTTTTATTTTTGTAGTAATTGAGAATAAGAGTTCATTCATAATTTGGCTCTCTGTTTGCCTGTTATTCGTATATAGGAATACTAGCAATTTTTGCACATTGATTTTGTATCCTGAGATTTTGCTAAAGTTGTTTATCAGCTTAAGAAGATTTTGGGCCAAGATGATGAAATTTCCTAGATATAGAATTATAGATAATTTGACTTCCTCTCTTCCTATTTGAATATGCTTTATTTCTTTCACTTGCCTGATTGCTTTGGCCTGAAATTCCAATACTATGTTGAATAGAAGTGCTGAGAGAGGCCATCCTTGTTTTGTGCTGGTTTTCAAGGGGAATGCTTCCATCTTTTGCCCATTCAGTATGATGTTGGCTGTGGGTTTGCATAGATGGTTCTTATTATTTTGATGTATGTTCTTTCAATACATAGTTTATTGAGAGTTTTTAGCATGAAGGTATGTTGAATTTTATCAAAGGCCTTTTCTGCATCTATTGAGATATTCATGTGGTTTTTGCTTGAGTTCTGTTTATGTGATGAATCACATGTATTGATTTGCATATGTTGAGCCAATCTTGCATCCCAGGGATGAAACTAGGTGGTGGATAAGCTTTTTGAGGTGCTGCTGGTTTCAGTTAGCCAATGTTTTATTGAGGATTTTTGCATCGATGTTCATCAATATATTGGTCTGAAGTTTTTGTTGTTGTTGTTGCATGTCTGCCAGGTTTTGGTGTCAGGATGATGCTGGTCTCATAGAATGAGTTATGGAGGAGTCTCTCTTTTTCAATTTTCTGAAATAGTTTCAGTAGAAATGGTACCAGCTCTTCTTTGTACCTCTGGTAGAATTCAGCTGTGAATCCCTCTGGTCCTGGGCTTTTTATGGTTGGTAGATTATTTGTTACTGCCTAAATTCAGAACTCATTTTTAGTCTATTCAAAAATTTAATTTCTTCCCGGTTCACTCTTGGAAGGGTGTATGTATCGAGAAGTTTATCCATGTCTTCTAGATCTTCTAGTTTAAATGTATAGAGGTATTTGTTTATACTATTCTCTGTTGGTTGTTTGTATTTCTGTGAGGGCCGTGTTGATAACCTAGTTATCATTTCTGATTGTGTTTATTTGATTCTTCTCTCTTTTCTTCTTTATCAGTCTAGCTAGTGGTCTATTAATTTTTTTCAAAATACCAGTTCCTGGATTCATTGATATTTTTGAAGTGTTTTTTGTGTCTCTATCTCCTTCAGTTCAGTTCTGGTCTTGGTTATTTATTGCCTTTACTAGCTTTGGGGTTTGTTTGCTCTGGGTTCTCTAGTTCTTTTGGTTTTGATGTTAGGTTATTAACTTGAGGTCCTTCTAGCTCTTTGATGTGGGCATTTCGTGTTATACATGTCTCTCTTAACACTGCTTTAGCTGTATCCCAAAGATTCTGGTACATTGTCTCCTTTTTCTCATTATTTTCAAATAACTTGATTTCTGCCTTAATTTCATTATTTACCCAAGAGTCTTTCAGGAGCAGGTCATTCAATTTCTATGTAGTTGTGTGGTTTTGCGTGAATGTCTTAATCTTGAGTTCTAATTTGATTGTGCTGTGATCTGAGAGACAGTTTTTATTATTTTTTTAATTTCAGTAGGTTTTTGGGAAACAGGTGGTGTTTGGTTACATGAATAAGTTCTTTAGTGGTGATTTCTGAGATTTTCGTGCACCTATCACCCTAGCAGTGTACACTGTACCCAATGTATAGTCTTTTATCCCTCACCCTTTGCCCACTCTTTCCTCTCAGTCTCAAAAATCCATTCTGTCATTTTTATGCCTTTGCATCTTCAGAGCTTAGCTCCCACATGTGAGCAAGAACATACGATGTTTGGTTTTTATTCCTGAGTTGCTTCACTTAGAATATTAGTCTCCAATTTCATCCAGGTGTTGCAAATGCCATTATTTCATTCATTTTTATGGCTGGGTAATGTACCATCATATATATATATATATATATATATATATATATATATATATATATACACACACACACACACACACACACACACACATACACACACAATATGTTGAACGTTTTTATTTTTATATATAAATATGATATATATATATCACATTTGCTTTATTCATTGATTGATGGGCATTTGGGCTGGTTTCATATTTTTGCAATTACAAATTGTGCTGCTATAAACATGCACGTGAAAGTATATTTTTCATATAATGACTTCTTTTCCTCTGGGTTGACACCTACTAGTGGGATTGCTGGATCAAATGGTAGATCTACTTTTAGTTTTTAAGGAATCTCCAAATTTTCCATAGTGGTTATAGTAGTTTACATTCCCATCAACAGTGTAAAATTGTTTCCTTTTCACCACATCCATATCAACATTTTTTTTTTATTATGGCCATACTTGCAGGAGTGAGGTGGTATCACATTGTGGTTTTGATTTGCATTTCCCTGATAAGTAGTGATGTTGAGAATTTTTTCCATATGTTTGTTGGCCACTTGTATATCTTCTTTTGAAAATTTATTTATGTCCTTAGCCCTCTTTTTGATGAGATTGTTTGTTTTTCTCTTGTTGATTTATTTAAGTTCTTTGTAGATTCTAGATATTCATCCTTTGTTGGATGTATAGATTGTGAAGATTTTCTCCCACTCTGTGGGTTGTCTGTTAGATCTGCTGAATATTTCTTTTGCTGTGAAGAATTTTGTTAGTTTAATTAAGTCCCATGTACTTATATTTGTTTTTGTTGTGTTTGCTTTTGGGTTCTCCGTCATGAAGTATTTGCCTAAGTCAGTGTCTAAATGGGTCTTTCTGATGTTATTTTCTAGAATCTTTATGGTTTCAAGTATTACATTTAAGTCTTTGATCTATCTTGAGTTGATTTTTATATAAAATAAGAGGTGAAGATCCAGTTTCATTCTTCTACATGTGGCTTTCCAGTTACCCCAGCACCATTTGTCAAATAGGGTCTCCTTTCCCCACTTAATGTTTTTGTTTGTATTGTCAAAGATCAGTTGGCTGTAAGTATTTGACTTTATTTATGGGTTCTCTATTCTGTTCCATTGGTCTAGGTGCCAACTTTTATACCAGCACCATGCTGTTTTGGTGACTATGGCCTTATAGTATAGTGTGAAGTCGGGTAATGTGATGCCTCCAGATTTGTTCTTTTTGCTTAGTCTTGCTTTGACTATGAGGGCTCTTTTTTGGTTCCATATGCATTTTGGGATGGTTTTTTCAAGTTCTGTGGAGAATGATGGTGGTTTTTTGATGGGAATTGCATTGAATTTGTAGATTTTGTCAGTATGGTCATTTTTACAATATTAATTCTATCCATCCATGAGCATTAGATGTGTTTCAATTTGTTTGTGTCATCTATGAGTTATTTCATCAGTGTTTTGTTTTCTTTGTAGCGGTCTTTCACACCCTTGGTTAGGTATATTTCCAAGTTGTTTTTTTTTTTTTCCACTTTTTGCAGCTATTGTGAAAGGGGTTGAGTTCTCGATTTGCTTCTCAGCTTGGTCACTGTTGGTGTATACCAGAGCTACTGATTTGTGTACATTAATTTTGTATCCTGAAACTTTGCTGAATTTATTTACCAGTTCTAGGAGCTTTTTGGTTGAGTCTTTAGGGTTTCCTAGGTTTACAATTATATCATCGGCAAACAGTGACAGCTTGACTTCCTCTTTACCAATTTGGATGACCTTTATTTCTTTATCTTATATGATTGCTCTGGCTAGGACTTCCAGTACTATGTTAAATGGAAGTTGTGAAAGTGGGCATCCTTGTCTTGTTCCAGTACTCAAGGGAAATGCTTTCAACTTTCCCTGTTCAGTATAATGTTGGCTGTGGGTTTGTCGCAAATGGCTTTTCTTACTTTAAGGTATGTCCTGTCTACACAGATTTTGCTGAGGCTTTTAATCATAAGGGAATGCTGGATTTTGTAAAATCCTTTTTTGTGTGTGTATCTATTGAGATAATCACATAATTTTTATTTTGAATTTTTTAATGTGGTTTATTACATTTATTATGTATGTTAAACCATCCCTACATCATTGTATGAAACCCACTTGATCATGGTGGATTATCTTTTTGATATGCTGCAATTTGTTGAAGATTTTTACATCTATGTTCTTCAGGGATATTGGTCTGTAGTTTTCATTTTTTATCATGTCCTTTTCTGGTTTTGGTATTAGGGTGATACTGGCCTTGTAGAATGATTTAGGGTGGATTTCCTCTTTTTCTATTTTTTGGTATAGGGTTGGAATCAATTTTTCTTTGAATGTCTGATAGAATTCTGCTGTGAATCCGTCTAGTCCTGGATTTTGTTTGTTGTTGTTGGCATTTTTTAATTACCATTTCAATCTCACTGTTATTGGTCTGTTCGGAGATTGTATATCTTCCTAGTTTAATCTAGGAGGGTTGTATATTTCCAGAAATTTATCCATCTCTTCTAGGTTTTCTAGTTTATGTGCATAAAGGTGTTCACAGTAGCCTAGAATAATCTTTTTTATTTCTGTGGTATCTGTTGTAATATCTCCTGTTTCATTTCTGATTGAGCTTATTTAGATCTTTGCTCTTCTTGTCTTGGTTAATCTCACCAATGGTATATCAATTTATTTATCTTTTCAAAGAATCAGCTTTTTGTTTCATTTATATTTTTGTATTTTTTTTGTTTCAATTTCATTTAGTTCTACTCTGATCTCATTATTTCTTTTCTTCTGCTGCATTTAGATTTGGATTGTTTTTGTTTTTCCAGTTCTGTGATGTGTGACTTTTGATTGTCTATTTGTGCTCTTTTAAACTTGGGTGTAGGCATTTAATGTTATGAACTTTCCTCTTAGCACTGTTTTTGGTCTATCCTGGAGGTTTTCATATGTTGTGTCACTATTATCATTCAGTTCAAAGAATTTTTAAATTGTCATCTTGATTTCATTGTTGACCCAATGATTATTCAGGAACAGGCCATTTAATTTCCATGTATTTGCATGGTTTTGAGGATTCTTTTTGGAGTTGATTTCCAATTTTATTTCACTGTGGTCTGATCTGAGAATGTACTTGATGTAATTTCGGTTTTCTTAAATTTACTGAGATTTGTTTTGTGGCCTATCATATGGTCTATCTTAGAGATTATTTCATGTGCTGATGAATAGAATGTATATTCTGCAGTTGTTGGGTAGAATGTTCTGTAAATATCTCTTAAGTCCATTTTTTGTAGGGTATAGTTTGAGTCCATTGTTTCTTTGTTGACTTTATGTCTTAATGACCTGTCTAGTGCTGTCAGTGGAGTATTAAATCTGCCCCCACCACACACACACACACATACACACACACACACACACACACACACACACAATTACTGTGTTTCTGTCTGTCTCATTTCTTAGGTATAGTATTAATCATTTTATAAATTTGGGAGCTCCAGTGTTAGGTGCATATATGTTTAGAATTGTGATATTTTCCTGTTGAATTAGCCTTTTTGTCATTATATAATGTCCCTTTTTTGGTAACTGCTGTTGCTTTAAAATTCATTTTGTTTAAGAATAGCTACTCCTGCTAGTTTTGGTGTCCATTTAAATGGAGTATCTTTTTCCACCCCTTTATCTTAAGTTTATGTGAGTCTTTATGTGTTAGGTAAGTCTTGTGAAGACAGCAGAAACTTAGTCGGTGAATTTGTATCCATTCTGTCATTCTGTATTTTAAGTGGAGCATTTAGACCATTTACATTCAATGTTAGTATTGAGATGTAAGATACTATTGTGATCATCATGCTATTTGTTGCCTGAATATCTTGTTGTCCTTGTTTTTCTTTTTTTTTTTAAAAATTTTGTTACTGTTATATAGGTTCTATGAGATATATGCTTTAAGAAGGTTCTACTTTGGTGTATTCTGAGGATTTGTTTCAACATTTAGAGCTTCTTTTAGTAGTTCTTGTAGTACTGGCTTGGTAGTGGTGACTTCTCTCAGCATTTGTTTGTGTGAAAAAGACTGTACGTTTCCTTCATTTATGAAGCTTAGTTTCTCTGGATACACAATTCTTGGTGGATAATTGTTTTGTTAAAGAGGCTAAAAATAAAAATAGGACTCAAATCCCTTCTAGCAGGTAGGGTTTCTGCTGATAAACCTGCTGTTAATCTGATAGCTTTTTCCTTTATAGGTTACCTGATGCTTTTGACCCACAACTCTTAAGAGTCTTTTCTTCGTCTTGACTTTAGATAACCTAATGACCATGTGCCTAGGTGATGATCATTTTGTGATGAATTTCCCAAGTTTTTTTTGTTTTGTTTTTGTTTTGTTTTTTTTTGAGCTTCTTGTATTTGCATGTCTAGATCTCTAGCAAGGCCAGGGAAGTTTTCCTCAATTATTCCCTCAAATATGTTTTTCTAACATTTAGATTTCTCTTCTTCCTCAGGAACAGAAATTATTCTTAGGTTTAGACATTTAACATTATCCCAAACTACTTGGAGTCTTCGTTCATTTCTTTTTATTCTTTTTTCTTTGTCTTTGACAGATTGGGTTAATTTGAAAGTCTTGTTTTCAAACTCTGACGTTTTATCTTCTGCTTGTTCAATTCTATTGCTGAAACTTTTCAGTTCATTTTGCATTTCTCTAAATGTGTCTGTGATTTCTAGAAGCTGTGATTTTTTTTTTTAAATTTATACTACCTATTTCACGGAATAATTTTCCTTTTATATACTGTTCATATTTTTGATTTCTTTAAGTTGGACTTTACCTGTCTTTGGTGCCTCCTTTATTAGCTTAATAATCAACCATCTGAATTCTTTTTCTGGTAATTCAGAGATTATGTTTTGGTTTGGATATGTTGCTGGTGAGCTGGTATGATATTTTGGGGATGTTAAAGAACATTGTTTTGCCATATTACCAGAATTATTTTTCTGGTTTGTTTTTATTTTGGGTAGACTATGTCAGAGAAAAGATCTGGGATTCAAGGTCTGCTGGTCAGATTCTTCTGTTCCATGGGTGCTCTCTTGATGTGGTGTTTTCCTCCTTCCCTTAAGAATGGGACATCCTGAGAGCTTAACTGTAGTGACTGTTTTTGCTCTTCTGGGTCTAGCTACCCAGCAGAGCTACCAGGCTCCCGGCTGCTACTGGAGAGTGTTTGCAAAGGGTCTTGTGATGTGATCCATCTTCAGGTCTGCAGTGCTTGGTTGTGTACTGGTTTTGTGTTGGTTGGCCTCCAGCCAGGAGGTGCACTTTCAAGTGTGCATCAGCTGTGGTCAGTTATTTGGCATCTCAGGGAGCCTGCAGTGATAATCCAGTTCCTTCAAAGGGTCTGTGGATTCTCTCAGCTTTCTCAGTATTTTCCTTGGTAGTTCTTGGAGCAAAAGTTTATGATGTGAGTCTCCAAACACTGCCCTGTCCATCCGAGCAGGAGCTGCAAGCTAGTTCTGCCTCCAATCTGCTATCTTAATTTTCACTTGAGACACTGTTTGTTATGATTTCCATTCTTTTGCATTTGCTGAGGAATGTTTTACTTCTGATTATGTGATCAGTTTTAGAGTAAGTGCCATGTGATGATGAGAAGATGTATATTCTATTGTTTTGGGGTGGCAATTTCTGTAGATATCTATCATGTCCGCTTGATCCAGAGCTCAGTTTGTGTCCTAAATATCTTTGTTAATTTTCTGTCTCAATGATCTAATATTGTCAGTGGGGCACTAAATTCTCCCACTATTATTGTCTGGGTATCTAAGTCTCTTTGTAGGTGTCTAAGACCTTGCTTTATGAATCTGGGTGCTCCCGTATTGGAGATATATATATATATGTATATATACACACACACACACACATATATATACACATACATATATACACACACACACACATATATATATATATATAATTGTGATAGCTCTTCTTGTTGAATTAAACCCTTTACCATTATGTAATGCCATTCTTTATCTTTTTTGCTCTTCAATGATTTAGTCTATTTGCTGGAATCTTGGATTGCAACCCCTGCTTTTTTCTGTTTACCATTTGCTTGGTAAATTTTCTTTCATCCCTTTATTTTGAGCAAGTGTTGGATAGTTCTCTTATAGCATACTGATGGGTCTAGAATTTTTATCTAACATTCTTTCCATTCTATGTCTTTTAATTGGGGCATTTAGCCCATTTACATTTAAAGTAAGTATTGTTATGTATGAATTTGATTCTGTCATCATAATGATAGCTTGTTATTTTGCAGACTGGTTTATGTGGTTTCTTCATAGTGTGACTGCACTGTGTACTTCAGTGTGTTTTTGCAGTGGCTGGTAATGTTTTTCCTTTCCATGCTTAGTGCTTATTTCAGAAGCTCTTGCAAGGCAGGCCTGATGGTGACAAAGTCCCTAAGCACTTGCTTGTCTGAAAAGGATCTTATTTCTCCTTTGCTTATGAAGCTTAGTTTGGGCAGACATGAAATTGGAAATTATTTTCTTTAATAATGTTGATTATTGGCCCCCAATTTCTTCTGGATTGTAGGGTTTCCACTAAGAGGTCTGCTGTTAGTTCGATGGGTTCCCCTTTGTAGGTGACCTGGCCTTTCTCTCTGGCTGCTTTTAACATTTTTTTCTTTCATTTCAACTTTGGAGAATTTGATGATTATGTGTCTTGGGGTTGATCATCTCATGGAGTATCTTACTGGGTTGATCTAAATTTCCTGAATTTGAATGTTGGCCTGTATTGCTAGGTTGGGAAAGTTATCTTGGATGATATCCTCAAGTATGTTTTCAAACTTGGTTCCATATTTCTTGTTTCTTTCAGGTACCCCAATCAGTCATAGGTTTGGTCTCTTTACATAATCCCATATTTTTCAGAGGGTTTGTTTATTCCTTTTCATTGTTTTTTTTTTCTATTCTTGTCTGACTGTCTTATTTCAGAAAGATAGTCTTCATGCTTTGAGATTCTTCCCTTCATTTGGTCTATTCTGCTATTTATACTTGTAATTAAATTGTCAAGTTCTTGTGTTATGTTTCTCAGCTCCATTGAGTCGGTAATGTTCCTCTCTAAACTGGCTATTCTGACTATCAGCTCCTGTATTGTTTTATCATGATTCTTAGCTTCTTTGCATTGGGTTACAACATGCTTCTTTAGATCAGCACAATTTGTTATTACCCACTTTCTGAAGCCTACTTCTGTCAATTCAGCCATCTCCCCCTCAGCCCATGTGATGGTTAATGCTGAGTGTCAACTTGATTGGATTGAAGGATATAAAGTATTGATCCTTGGTGTATCTATGAGAGTGTTGCCAAAGGAGATTAACATTTGAGTCAGTAGTCTGGGAAAGGCAGGCCCAATCTTAATCTGGGCGGACACCATCTAATCAGCTGCCAGCACAGCCAGAATATAAAAGTAGGCAGAAAAATGTGAAAAGGTTAGACTTGCTTAACCTCCCAGCCTACATCTTTCTCCTGTGCTGGATGTTTCCTGCCCTCAAACATTGGACTCCAAGTACTTCAGCTTTGGGACTCGGACTGCCTTTGTTGCTCCTTAGCTTGCAGATGACCTATTGTGGGACCTTGTGATCATGTGTGTTAATACTACCTAATAAACTCCCCTTTATGTATACATATCTATCCTATTATTTCTGTCTCTCTAGAGAACCCTAACTAATGCAGCCCAGCTCTGTGCACTTGCTAGAGAACTGTTGTGGTCATTTGGAAGATAAGAGGCACTCTAGCTTTGTAAGTTTTCAGCATTTTTGCACTGATTCTTTCTCATTTTTGTGGGCTTATCTACCTTCGATCTTTGAAGTTGCTGACTTTCTAATGGGGTTTTTGTGGGGGGTTATTTGTTGATGTTTTCTGTTTGTTTTCCTTTTAGCAGTCAGGCCATTGTTCTACAGAGCTGCTGTGGTTTGCTGGGGTTCTGCTCCAGACCCTGGTTATCTTGGTTTTTCCCATACCTGGAGGTATTACCAATGAAGGCTGTGTAAAAGCAAAGATGGCATCCTGCTCCTTCCTCTGGAAGCTCCATCCCAGGGGGGTACTGACTTGTTGCCAGCCCAAATATGCCTGCAGGAGGTGGCTGGAGATCCCTGTTGGGAAAACTCACCCAGTATGGAGAAACAGGATCAGGGTTCTGCTTAAAGAAGCACCTTGGCTGCTTTTTGGGAGAGCAGGTGTGATGCATTGCAGGGGACCCTTCCTCGTCTGGGTCATTTGAACTCTCCAAAGCTGGCAGGCTGAAACGGCTGAGTCCACCAAACTGCAGAGATGATGGCCACCCCTCCCCACCAGGAGCTCCTCCCAAGGGAAAGATCAGAGCTCTGTTCCTATAACTCTGGCTACAGTGGCTAAATCCCCCACAGAGTGAGGAATGGATCAGGTTCCTGCTTAAATAAGCAGTCTGGCCACTAACTGGTAAAGCTCCTGTGTTGCATTGTGGGGAACCCCTTCTCATCTGGCCATTTGGATTCTCCAAAGCTGGCAGGCTAGAATAGCTGAATCTACCAAACCACAGATATGGTGGCCTCCCCTCCGCGCAGGATCTCAGTCCCATCTCAGGCAGACTCCAGGTTCTTGTTGTTGTCTGGCTGGAATTCCAAGCCAGTGGGTCATAACTTGTGAGGTGCTGTGGAAGTGGGACCTGCAGAACGATGCTGATTGTCTCCCTGGACTCAGGCCCCTTCCCAGGGGTATGTACAAATGGATCTCACACTTTTCCAGGGATCTTGAGGCAGGAATATGTAAAGCTCCTGGGTCTCTGTGTGTGTCTGAGTGGCTGCTCTGCCAAGACTTAATACAGCTCTGTGTATCAGACCCAAGGCCCTGGTGGCATGAGCTCATGAGGGGATATCCTGATTCTTTGGTTGCAAAGATTCGTAGGAGAAGCATGGTTTCTGAGGCAGAGACACAGAATCACTCACTGCATCCCTTGGCTGGAGGCGGGAGTTCTTTTGGCTCCATGCTGTTCCTAGGTGGTCCATCACCCCACTCTGCTTTTCTTCATTCCCTGTGGGTAGAGTTGTTTGCCGAGTCAGTCCTAATGTGACAACCTGGATATTTCTTTTTCTATTTTCTTTTTTTCTTTTTCTTTTTCTTTTTTTTTTTTTGACAGAGTCTCGCTCTGTCGCCCAGCCTGTAGTGCAGTGGCGCCATCTCGGCTCACTGTAAGCTCTTCCTCCCGGGTTCAAGCGATTCTCCTGCCTCAGCCCCCCGAGTAGCTGGGACTACAGGCGACCGCCACCACGCCCGGCTAATTTTTTGTATTTTTAGTGGAGATGGGGTTTCTTTCTTTTCTTTTCTTTTCTTTTTCTTTTTCTTTTTTTTTTTTTTTTTTTTTGACAGAGCCTCGCTCTGTTGCCCAGGCTGGAGTGCAGTGGCTTAATCTCGGCTCACTGCAAACTTCGCCTCCTGGGTTCAGGCCATTCTCCAGCCTCAGCCTCCCAAGTAGCTGGGACTACAGGTGCCCACCACCACGGCCGGCTAATTTTTTTTTTTTTTGTATTTTTAGTAGAGACGGGGTTTCAACGTGTTAGCCAGGACGGTCTCCATCTCTTGACCTCGTGATCCACCCTCCTTGGCCTCCCAAAGTGCTGAGATTACAGGCCTGAGCCACTGCGCCTGGCCGAGAACCTGGATATTTCAGTTGAAGGTGCTGAATTTACTTGCTGCTTTCATTTCTCTGTCTTCCTCAAATAATTCTAATAAAGGTTTATATATTCTGTTTTCATTCATTGATCATTTCCATGTAAGTAAGGAGTTCAATCTTGGTTCCCAAATTTTTGTTACTATGACAAATTCTTTTTACATAACTTCTGAATAATTAATGATTTATTAAATATTATCAGTATTCCCACATATAGGATGGCAATGCTTCTCAGTTAACTATTAAAATATAGTTTAAAAAACTCTAGTGGGGCTTGTTATACTTAAGTATCTTTGTTAGAAAATGCTCAGCTTGAACTTTGCATTTATTGACCGCCTGTGTTAAGGCTCTGCACTTTAGAAATATCACAGACATCCAGTTTGCACATGCTTTCTTTGAGGTGAGGGAATGTGTCTCACTTTCACTTTAAGGTTCCTTCAGATGAGTATGATCTTGGCAATGTAGTGATTATACATACCTATCTTGTTTCTCTTTACTGTGTAGATATTTCTCACCTCTAAAAAAAAATCACAGAGAACACTATTATCATGAATTTCTTTTCTGTTTTTCTTCACCAATGTGTAAGTCAAATGTTTAATCAAAAGCTTAAAAACATTATAAATATTTCTACCAGAAAATCGTACATTAATTTATAGAATTTGTTTTAAAGGTGATGGAAATAATGAAGACCTGAACAGGAATTATGATGTAATCCAGAGATTTACAACAGCAAGTAGTTACTGCCATTCTTAAAGACATAGGAGTCATCTCTAAAAAATGAAGTCCCAGGTATAAAATGAAGCAATTTGCTTTTGATATCTAGTATGTCCTCATACTGCTATAAAATGTTTCATACTGCTATGCAATGTTTCAGGGAGGGAGGTGTATTAGTCCATTTTCATACTGCTATAAATTGTTTTGTACTGCTATGAAATGTTTCAGGGACATGGGTTCATGTCACCACAGTCCTTGGTTCAAAACATCCTGGTCTTGTTTCATTTATTTTCAAATAAAATGTTACTTTTCAAAGCTGTTTTCCTCTACTCCCCATTTTCTCTCCAGATTGGGTAATTTATAAAGGAAAGAGGTTTAGTTGACTCACAGTTCAGCATGGCTGGCGAGGCCTTAGGAAACTTAGAATCATGATGGAAGTCAAAGGGGGAGCAAGGCACCTTCTTCACAAGGTAGCAGGAAGAAGTGCTGAGTTAAGGGGAAGAGCCCTTGATAAATCAATCAGATCTTGTGAGAACTCTCACTACTATGAGAACAGCATGGCTGAAACCACCTCTATGAATCAATTACCTAAACCTTGTGTCTCCTTTGACACCTGAGGATTATGGGGATTATAATTCAAGATGAGATTTGGGTGGGCACACAAAACCTAACCATATCAGGAACACTCTTGTTCTAGTACAATACTCTTATCTCCAGAAACCATACTAAATTTTGATAGATGACTATTTCAGCATATGCAACATATACTGTCTCAACATGATTGCCCAGCCTCTCCAGATCCAGAGCTAGACTGTTGAGGGATTTGATTTCTTTCTTTCTTTCTTTTTTTTTTTAGAAATTTGAAGGAAGTTATTTGAAAATCAAATGTCTATTCAAAATGATCTTTTAGGAATCTTAGAGAAATGGTTCACGCTAGCAAGCTCAAATAATGCTACATTTTCTAAATCAGTTTGCAGTTATATTTAAATTAGGTCTTCCCACAGTCCACTGAGATTTCTAATATCAGCAGTGACTACTGATGGTCCTTAGTCATAAGATATCTGCAGCGATTGATAAGGACTGGATGATGACCTCTGGAATGACATGCTACAATGACAGATAAACAGTACATAGTACATAAGTTTTAGCATTTGTTAATAAGTTCTCCAGCTATGGCCTGATCCCAGGGTCACAGAAGCTATAAGCCTTTGGGAAAGGTCCTACTATCATCACTTAGTAGTCTACACTGGCCATTCTCCTAGCCCGCAGGTCATGTCATGCCCAGCAATCATGTGCTTCCTCATTGCAGGCAGTTCCTACTTGAGAGACTAGGCTCTTTGATCTTAGAATGCCTGGGTATTTCCCTGAATTGATCCTTGTCCAGAGCTATGGAACATATTGGGGATCTTACAATATTGATTTCATCTTCATCTTTGTCAGGTTTCTAAGCTTTTCTCTTCCTCAGTTTCCTTACCTGTGAAATGGAGAAACATTAAAAACAATATTTATGCAAAAGGTTATTATGAGTCTTAAAGTATATATTGTACTTGTAATTTCTAAAAATGCCTAGCAAGCTAAAAGTGTTTTATGAGTTATCATCACTATTATCACTAAGTTTATAATATATAAATCTTGGGGAATATCCCCCATTAGTTTAGGGAACTTTCACCAAAGATGAAAAGGTAAATTGTATTTTGTTCAAAAATGAAAGTTAATTATTTAAGTTATGGAGTATTCCATTACATTGTTTTCTGTTTGGGCTATTATAAGTAAAATCTTCTATGAAGATTAATGTATGTGTCTTGTGGTAGGTATATGCATTCATTTCTCTTGGGTATTGCATTGAAATCTCTAGTTTAAACCATGGTTAGGTTGGCAGACAAAATTCAGGGCATTCCAGATATAATTAAATTTCAGCTGAACAACACATTTTTTGTTATAAATACATACCAATTTTGTTTTTGTTATAAATACATAACAATATTGCATGGTACATACTTATACTAAAAGATTATCCATTGTTTATTTGAAATTCAAATTTAATTAGGCACCCTGTATTTTATTTGCTAAACATGATAACGTTAATAGGAAGTTATTATCCTAGATCTCTTGCTTCTCCTGGATTACTGCTATTGGGATTCAGAGATCTCATTTCCCGCCAAGATCCTGAAATACTCCAAGCATGTCCAAGTCAGTGGAAAGTCTAGGAGACATGATACTTTCATTTGTGCTTTTACTGTTACTATTTGAAGAAATTTTTACTTCAGGCAGTTTGGGCTTTCTGGCTGCTCCAAATCTCAAAAGCATAAAATCATAAAGACTGTATAAGACTAGAAATCACAGGAAAGGGAAAATATCAGGCATACAAAAAATAAGTTAATGCATACTTTCATTTTTCTTTGTATTTATGTTTCTTAGCTCTTACTTTTCTATAATTTTATTTCATCAAAGATGGTATTACCTTAAATACTATATCTGAAGAATACTGTGAGTAAAATATGCAAATTCTATATTTGTATTATTCAAATTTGAAAAACAAAATGTTCTGTTTTTTGGTTTTTTTTTTTGACGGAGTCTTGCTCTGTCACTCAGGCTGGAGTGCAGTGGCACGATCTTGGCTCACTGCAGCCTCTACCTCCCGGGTTTAAGCAATTCTCCTGCCTCAGCCTCCCGAGTAGCTGGGATTACAGGCATACGCCACCAAACCCGGCTAATTTTTTTTTTATTTTTAGTAGAGGTGGGGTTTCACCGTGTTAGCCAGGGTGGTCTCGATCTCCTGACCTCATGATCCGCCCGCCTCGGCCTCCCAAAGTGCTGGGATTACAGCCGTGAGCCACCGCGCCCGGCCGAAAATGTTTTGTTAATTATTGGTAACTAAAAGAACGTGGTTAAAGTAGAATATATCTGTTTTTGATATTTTAAGCTTACTATGTAAAATGATCATAACCTATCAAATAATAAGCACAGGCCAATGGAAGAAGGATCTTTATTACATCTCTTTTGTACTTCATGAATATACTATAGTTTATAGCAGTCTAATTACTTAATATTAATAAAATAAATAAATGTATGTTTTACATTATTCAGGCATTTACAGTACAAATCATTATCATTCTTTTTAAATTAATCACTAAATGTTAGAATCGTTTAGAAATTAAATTGTATGCAAATAATAAAATATTTGCAAGCACTTCTTAAAAAGTAATAAAAAAATATAATAAACTCTTCCCAAAGAGGCTGTGGATTTTGTTCATCTCCTAGAATTTATAATACTTTTTCTGGAATCAAGGCAAGGATTATGGGTTTCCTTTTGCTAAAAATAAAAAAGATCTACATCTTGTTACCTAGATAAATTTTAATCATCCTCTAAGGTTCAGCTTATAATAATTTCTTTTGTGAAGCATTCTCAGGCATCTGAGAGTGTCAGATCTCTCTGATGTGTAAATTAGGATTGTTCTGTAATTCTCACAAATATTTGGTGGGTACTAGCTCAGTCCACAAACTTAGGGGTGAATGAAAGTGAATTTTATTTTTCTATTGAACTGTATTTTGTTATAAGCCCTCATTCCATGAGAATTGCAGAAACTTTACCTAGATTGTTTTGGGAGCTTCTCTCCTCTCTTATTTGGAACTGAAACTTATCTGTCCCTGAGGTATCTTCTGAGCTACCCCTGTTGATGTATTCCTTATCTTTAGCCACTAAGTTAATTGCAGAGATGATAATAGCTAATACTTGCTGAGTTTGATAGCGAAAAGTTCAAAGTTGCTTTTTAAAAAATTTCTTTTTTTTTTTTGTTTAAAATGTTTATTTGGAACTTTTCTAGTACAAATATATTACGTCCTTATTACAGAAAATTTGGAAAACACAAAAAAGGAAAAGTCAGGCAAAACAAAGCCCAAGACCTCACTGGGAGGTGTACCCAGCAGCTCATTGGGAATGGGCCATGATGACGATGGCGGTTTTGTCTAGTAGAAAAGGGAGAAATGTGGGGAAAAGAAAGAGAGATCAGATTGTTGCTGTGTCTGTGTAGAAATAAGTAGACATAGGAGACTCCATTTTGTTCTGTACTAAGAAAAATTCTTCTGCCTTGGGATGCTGTTAATCTGTAACCTTACCCCCACCCCGTGCTCTCTGAAACATGTGCTGTGTCCACTCAGGGTTAAATGGATTAAGGGCGGTGCAAGATGTGCTTTGTTAAACAGATGCTTGAAGGCAGCATGCTCCTTAAGAGTCATCACCACTCCCTAATCTCAAGTACCCAGGTACACAAACACTGCGGAAGGCGGCAGGGCCCTCTGCCTAGGAAAACCAGAGACCCTTGTTCACGTGTTTATCTGCTGACCTTCCCTCCACTATTGTCCTATGACCCTGCCAAATCCCCCTCTCCGAGAAACACCCAAGAATGATCAATAAATACCAAAAAAAAAAAAAAAAAAAGAAAGAGACACATGAGAAGACACTGTGGCAGTCTTGGGTAGTGAGGTCCTGGGCTTTGTTTTGCCTGACTTTTCCTTTTTTGTGTTTTCCAAATTTTCTGTAATAAAAAATTTCTAATATTAAATCACTAAATTCTCTTAACACCCCCATAAGGTAGATACCCTTAGTGGTTTTCTTTTAAAATGAGAATACTAATAAATAAATTTTAAACAACTTGCTAACACACAACCTTAGCTGAAGCTATTATTGTATCCCTGAACTTGTTCTGATTCAGGGTTCAAGTTCTCTCTCAAATAACCCATAATTTCCTATCTTCCCTATCTTCTACCTCCATCTCAACCACCATATTTTTCTAATCTTGATAACATAATTAGAAAAATCAGCAATCTTAAAAATTTTTTCTCTAGATATATACTTAAGTTGCAAGGTAGTTTGTTGCCTCCTTGCCATTTCCCTAGGAATATTGGTTTTTGGAATAAATAAAAATTTAGGAAAGAACTTGTAGGCTTGTAGGTAATTTGCTGTCTGGCATGGTACTATCCTTGCATTGGAGTAAAGGTAAAAACTTGCATGGTTCCTAAAATAGGACATGATATGGTTTGGCTGTATCCTTACCCAAATCTCATCTTAAGTTGTAGCTCCCATTGTCCCCAAGTGTCGTGAGAGGAGACTGGTGGGAGATAATTGAATCATGGGGGCAAGTTTTTCCTGTACTGTTCTCATGACAGTTAATAAGTCTCATGATATCTGATGGTTTTATAAAGGGCAATTCCTCTGCACACACTCTCTTGCCTGCCACCATGTAAGACACGATTTTGCTCCTCGTTTGCCTTCCACCATGATTGCATAGCCTCCCCAGCCATGTAGAACTGTGAGTCAATTAAGCCTCTTTTCTTTATAAGTTACCCAGTCTTTGATATGTCTGTATTAGCAGTGTGAGAACAGACTAATACAGAAAATTGGTACTAGTAGAGTGGGGTGCTGCTGTGAAGATACCCGAAAATGTGGAAGGGACTTTGGAACTGTATAACAGGCAGAGGTTAAAACAGTTTGGAGGACTTTGACCAAAATGCTGATAGTGATATGGACAATGAAATCCCGGTTGAGGTGGTCTCAGATGGAGATGGGAAATTTGTTGGGAACTGGAACAAAGGTGACTCTTTTCATGTTTTAGCAAAGAGACTGGCAGCATTTTGTTCCTGCCCTGGAGATCTGTGGAACTTTGAATTTGATAGAGATAATTTAGAGCATCTGGCAGAAGCAATTTCTAAGCAACAAGGCATTCAAGAAGTGATTTGGGTGCTGTTAAAAGCATTCAGTTTTATGTATCCACAGATATATGGATACATAAAATTTGTATTTGGAATTGGAACTTATGTTTAAAAGGGTAGCAGAGCATAAATGTTTGAAAAATTTGCAGCCTGATGAGGATGCGATAGAAAAGAAAATCTCATTTTCAGAGAAGAAACTCAAACCTGCTGCAGAAATTTGCTTAAGTAATGAGGAGCCAAATCTTAATTGCCAAGACAATGAGAAAAATGTCTCCAGGGCATGTTGGAGACCTACCCGGCAGCAACTCCCATCACAGGCTTGGAGGCCTAGGAGGAAAAAAAATGGTTTTGTGGGCCTAGCCCAAGGTTTCCCTGCTCTGTGCAGCCTAGGGACTTGGTGCCCTGCATCCCAGCTGCTTCAGTTTTAGCCATGGCTAAAAGGGGCCACTGTACAGCTTGGGCTGTGGCTTCAGAGGGTACATGCCCCAAACCTTGGCAGCTTCCACGTGTTGCTGAGTCTGTTGGTGCACAGAAGTCGACAATTCAGGCTTGGGAACCTATGCCTAGATTTCAGAAGATGTATAGAAATGCCTGGATGTCCAGGCAGAAATGTGCTGCAGGGGCAGAGCTTTCATGGAGAACCTCTGCTAAGACAGTGAAGAAGGGACATATGGGGTTGGAGGCCCCACACAGAGTCCCTACTGGGGCACTGCCTAGTGGGGCTATGAGAAGAGGGTCACTGTCTTCCAGACCCCAGAATGATAGATGTACCAACAGCTTGCACCATGTGCTTGGAAAACTTGCAGACCCTCAAGGCCAGCCCATAAAAGCAGCCAGGAAGGAGGCTGTACCCTGCAAATCCACAGGGAAGGAGCTGGCCAACACCATGGGAACCCATCTCTTGCATCAGCATGACCTGGATGTGAGACATGGATTCTAAGGACATCATTTTGGATCTGCAATATTTGGCTGCCCTAGTGGATTTTGGACTTACACGGGACCTGTAGCTCTTTGCTTTGGCCAATTTCTCCCAGGTAGAGTGGGTATATTTACCAAATACCTGTTCCCCCGTTGTATCTTCTAAGTAACTAACTTGCTTTTGATTTTACAGGCTCATAGGCAGAAGAGACTTGCCTTGTCTCAGATGAGACTTTGGACTTGGACTTTTGGGTTAATGCTGGAATGAGTTAAGACATTGGGGGACTGTTGGGAAGGCATGACTGGTTTTGAAATGTAAAGATATGAAATTTTGGAGCGGCCAGAGGTGGACTGATATGGTTTGGCTGTGTCCCCACCAACATCTCAGCTTAACTGTAGCTCTCATAATCCCCATGTGACATAGGAGGGACCCAGTGGGAGGTAACTAAATTGTAGGGGTAGGTTTTTCTCATGCTGTTCTCATGACCGTGAATAAGTCTCATGAGATCTAATGGTTTTATAAAAGGCAGTTACCCTGCACATTCTCTCTTGCCTGCCACTATGAAAGACATGACTTTGATCCTCATTTTCCTTCCACCATGATTTTAAGACCTCCCCAGCCATGTCGAACTGTGAGTCAATTAAACGTCTTTCCTTTATGAATTACTTAGTCTAGGATATGTCTTTACTAGCAGCTTGAATACAGACTAATAAAGGGCAATAGAAAAAAAATAATAAAGGTGAGATATTTCAAAATACTGTATCTTCAAATATTTGCTGTACTTTATTTTAATTTCTTGATTTATTAAGAGTATCTCTTATATAATCAGGAAAAAAATCTACATCTCATTTAATGTTTTATTGACAGAGGCAGAGAGTGACCAAAAATAAATATCAGTTGATTAACTGAATAGCTCATGACTATATAATGGAATATATATTCATGGTTTTATAACTTAAGTGACTAAAGACCCCATTTTATTCCACATTTGGAAGATCCACACAACTTCTTTTTTTCACCCATTCCTTTTAAATTTTATAGACTGCTTCTTCTTGAATGCATATTTACTTTGATTCCTCTAGGAATGAGAACGTTATCAATCAGGCAATGGGCTCTGTTCAGTAGTCTTTAACTTAAAATGTGAAATTCAAGCAAAGTTCAAGAAGTTTTTTCCCTATATCTGCCCTTCAGTGGACACAAATGGAAACTGCAACTTTTTATAGAGAACTTTAAGCTTAGGAATCATTTAATGGAAAAACTCTCCAGGCTGCTATATCTTTGGGTTCAGAGAATTTAGCCTGTAATAAAATAATAGTTGTAAAATCTGAAGATATCAAAAACAACTTTGAATGACCAAATTTTTATTTTTGTTGTTGAGCTATTCTCCACCTTTTTAGTGAAGGATAAAATAAAGATCTATTCTTTAGTGAAGAAAAAAATAAAGATCTATTGCCCTGTTTGAGTTGGTCCTTGTGTTAGTAATGAACTATCACACTTCGGTTGTTAGCAATGAACACTCTTCCATTGTGACACATGCTTTAAGGGTATACAAAGGCTTTATAAAACACAGATAGTCTTGAACTTAACCTGCTCATAAAGTAGGACAGGAATGAAAGATAATTCCAACCAACTACTCTCCCAAATACACATTCTGAAAAAAATAAAAATGAAAATGACAGGATGAACCTGATACCTGCCATCTGAACTGTGGTTACCATTTAGAACTTAACAACTGATCACCCCTCAAAAGACCCACAACCTCAGGCACCCTACAATAATAGATGAAATGAGAAGTCAGATCAAACATAAGATTTGAGTGTCCAACTCTTGATTTTTACATATACTATTATTTAAAGCATCTCTACTCTTCATAGAATGCATTAAGCTATGTGTTTTGTATACACCTTATTTTATGTAATTGTCACAGAACAATCCAGAAAAGGCAGTTAAAACAAATTGATGAAATTAAATCAAATCCTGTCTCATTTAAATGAGGTTCAGAAAGATTACATATACTATCCCTGGTTCTACAGGAATTAGGGGCAGAACAAAGATACAAATCTGATGCATATTTATATGCTATGGTTTAAAATTATGCCTCTAGAATTCTGTTGAAAATTAATCCACATTATGGTAGTATTAAGAGTTAGGGCCTTTTGAAAAGTGATTGATTAATTAACGAGGGTGAAGCCCTCATAAATGGTATTAGCACCCTTATAAAATAATTTGAAGGGCTCTACCCTGCCATTTCTCCCATGTGAGGAAATAGCAGCAAGGTGCCATCTATAGAGCAGACGTCGAATCTGCTGGTGCCTTGATCTTGAACTTCCCAGCCTTTAGAACTATGAACAATAAATTTCTGTTCTTCATAAATAACCCAGTCTAAGGTATTTCATTATAGCATCCAAAACAGGCTAAGAAACTAGAATAGTCTCCCTATGCACACATTTATTTTTGGGTGCATGCTCTTTGAATGTTTTCTAATATATTAAAGATTTTCTGCTACAATTTTCTATAAAAATATAATTACTTTATCCCCATTATTGTATTCAAAACTTGATTTTTATTAAATTGTTTTTATGTCTTATTTGTGTTTTCATAATTCATAACGCAATATTATGTAAATGTTTAGGAGTACTGTCAAATTTAGAAAATATACGAACTTATAGCATCTTTCACATTAGAAATATGATTTTGAATATTTCAAGTTTTTTATGCAGTGGCATATCTTAAATACTGTTTGAATTTTTGATACTTATTAACCAGTTTGTTGTCAGTGTTCTCATAGCAGTCTTTTATATAATTTCCATCAATGGTGACATTTTATGTAAAATCGGCAGAAATTTATATCTTTTTTCAATGTGTTTATATAATTTATTTGTTTTTATAGTTGGATTATCAAATAATCCAAGGGCTTTTTTATTAAACCTTTTAAAATTTTCCATCTTTCACTTAATGAATTGTTACTTTTGGTCTAACCTAAGCTATATACCAGTTTGTTTGATTTCAGAAAATACATATTGATGCCATTGCTTATCTTTATCATTTTAATATTCCGTTTTAAACACCCATTTTCTACTAATATTATAATACATAATTTTAAATTTGACCAAATGAGTTATGCTATATGAACAAATAATGAACAAATAACAATCTATAATTTCCCACTGTTTTATGGAGGTATTCGAAGATGTTTTTACTATGGCATATTTCCTATTCAAATTTTCTTTAGCTGAATACCAAAAATGCCACTTTCCACTAAATGATGTGTAATAGAGAGAAAATTATTACTTTAAAAAAAGGGTCTTAACCAATTCTTGTCTAAATATCTTAATTTTGCAAATTTTATAAAAATATGTGACCATGAAAACACACTAAGCTATGCCCTCTCCTAAGGCCTTGGAAAGAATTGTACAAGTGAGGAGCCTAAAATTTAGACCTTGTGAGTTTACATGGGGATGGTTTATCTTCCATTGTCTGCCACATTTTTTGAATTTTTCTCTTTATATTGCATTTTTTGGTAAGAATCTTCTCTCTTTAATTATGCATCTTCTGAATCACAAATACTCTTCACATCCCAATGTAGTGGATGCTGCTGGTATTATATTGCTGCTTCTTTCATTTCTTTCATGTCCCTGCAAGAGAGCCTAGTAGATGCAGCCAATAGATGGAACAGTGGTACAGGATGCTATGCAGATCCTAGTTGTGACTTTCATATTACCCATTGTTGTTCTCCATCATCTTAATATTTTCTTTTCAACCTCTAGCACAATTTCCTTGAATTGAAATGGAAGTTATTGAAAACTCTGCAACCAACCTTTGTTTACATCATTGATCTCTCTGCTCTCTCAACAGTTGTTTAAACTTTCAGATTTAGAGGTGGAGTTACAGATGTACCTGTTCTCTTTGATTATCATCTTTCAATAATAATAAAAATTGCTGTATTTTTCATGATGGTCACCTTATTTTAACAACGAAATTTTATCACTCATAGCACTTTTTCAGCATTTCTCTTGGTAAAAAAGCTATCAAAATAAACAATCAGTTTCTATAATATTAGTGTTTGTCATTATAATTTGTTGGAGAAATAACATTTAACTGAAAAATATATTTTATTAAATCATGGAAGCAGATATATTATTTAATTACTTATCACAATGATAAATATGAATAAAATGATGAAGACAATGATAAGGAGACAGTATAGCTCTGTGATTGAATCTTACAAAATTTCTAAATAATTTTTTATATATGACTGGGGTAATAATGCCATTGATTATTGTGGAGATTAAGGAAAATAACACCTGTAAAATATTTAATACACAGTTTGGAATTTGAAACAAATTGTTATTTGATTCAATGCCTACATTTTTATATAAAACACAGTAAAATAATATTAAATCAACAACACAAAGACATGGGTGCTTGTTCTAGAAGAAAGAAATGAAATTGTATAAGATATCATAAGAACAAAATGTCTTGAAAGCAATTAATTTATACAATATTCACCATGTAAGATACTTTACTGAAATGTCTTTCTTCTTTCCCATTCTCAGCTTTTCTCCAGTGATGCTAACTGAAATCTGAAGAAAGGTAAGAAGATACAAACACTTTAATAGACCTAATTTCTACTGTTCATGGAGTTATGAGTGTATATTGATGAAAATTTTAACATTTAGTTTGAACATGTATTTGGTTTGGGCACTTGTATTGTTTGAAAATTAATCCACAAATAATATTTATTGTGTTATACTTGTGAATAACATCTCTTGAACAAAGTTTCAAAATATACTTTTATTTTAAATACTTCTGAAATTTTCAGAATTATACTTTTGCACATTTTCTTATGATAAAGAACTTTATTGAAATATATATGTATCATACATTATATATGTATTATATATTATAAATTGTACATTATATGTAATGTATATACGTGTGTATATATATGAGTTCTCATATGCCTGCATACATATTATCTTTATTATATCTACAGTGTTACTTAGAACAGTTTTATATATATAGTAGGTTGCACAGTGAAAATTTTTGAAAACATAAAGGAATAACCTATTTGTATATTTCTCCATGACACTTATATAGACACCGCCTGAGCCACTATGTCTATTTCTGTGAAACTATGAATAAAGTGTAAAAAAAGTTAAGAGGTTTAGACCCTTTTACAGTTTGTACATGATATCTCCCTATATCTCCAGCACTCCAAAGTTTATACTAAATCCAGTGATATATCTTTATAACTTTAAGGGAAACTACACTCAACCAAATTTATGTGCTCTTCCTCTTATTATTATTTGATCAATAAAATGCATAGGAGAAATGGGAAAATATATTTGCTCAGTTTCCATTTTACATCAGGAGTTTAAGATATTTTTGCAACAGTGTAGGCAGATAATTTTTATTTAAAATTAAGAACTCTCCAAATTGTATTCAATTAATCAAACTTGACAGTTTGACCAATTACACAAAAATTTTCTGATGTGATATTCAGTTAAAATACTTTGTTAACCTTTGATACATTTATTTTACTAATAAAACATACAACCTGGTGTTATCTTAAAAAGTACCTTTTTTACACTGAGATATATAATTTTACAAAAAAATTAATGTTGAATTCTAATTTTAAAATCATAGTAAAGAATCGATATAATTAATGCATATTATTTTCAATCAAATATTCCTGAAATTTTGAAATTTACATCTAAGGAGATGGCACTTCTGTTGTTATTCCTACATATTTATATATCAAAATCAAAATATATGGAATATCATGTTGCAAGATGTTTACAAATATCCTCAAGTTGCTACAAAGACATGGGTATCTTTAGCAACATGTTTAATGCTATTATATTTAAAAATATACATTCCCTCTTGTTTCTCTATATTATCAACAATATTATTTGTTATAAAGCTTGAATTACTTAGTATTTGATGTTTATCTTCCTTTTATTACCAGGAATAAACTTTTTTTAATCCATTACTATTTTTGGCATTTCTTAGGTTTTGGATCTGTGTAATTGAGTGTATCTAATTTTCATTGCAGTGTACCCTTTTTATTTAATAAAATGCTCTAGAGTACAGATGAAACATATTTTTAGTATTCTGGGGAGAAAAGCTTTGCAGATTTGATAGTTTAATATTTTTTCTTAACTGTATACCAGTAGGGTGCACTTTTTTACAATATTATATTTGACAGGACAATCAAATTGTTTTATTCAACTAATACATACATATCATATATATATTTGATACATATATATTTGATAAAATATATATATTTTATCAAATATATATATATTTTGGAAATTTCTAGATACAAATATAATTTAATTATATATGTATATATATAAAATGAAATTATATTTGTATCTAGAAATTTCCAAAATTCAAAAGAGGCATTTACTTAATTCTTAAACCCTAGCACACATACATTTATTTGGGTAAGATAGCCCAATAGAAGCCTCCACTGATCATGCTTCTCACGGGAACACAAAATTGAACAACTGTCCATACACATAAAAAATCATCTTCATAAGAAGAAGAACAACAACAAATAGGTGAGTGATCATCGTACCTGATTTTAACTTTATACCACTGAAAGAGTCACTTAAGAGGACAGGAAAGGCAGTCATAAATTTCTGACTCCACCCCCCTCCATTCTTCAACAGTGGCCATGTGGCATACAGAGAAAGAATCCATGCATCTGGGGTACAGAGGGTGCAGTGATTGTGGGACTTTGCATTGGAACTCAGTGATGCCTTGTAACAGTGGAAAGTAACGTTGGTAAAAAATGCCCTGGCAACCAAAGAGGGAGCTTTTACACCAGACCTAGCCAGGAGGCAATTTGCCCATCCCAGCAGCTGTAACTTCAGTTCTAGCAAGCCTGGCCACCACAGGCCATAGTGCTCTGGTGTTCTAAATAAACTCGAAAGGCAGTCTAGACTACAAGGATTGCAATTGCTGGTGTTGTGCTGGACGTGTAGCTAGTGTACTGAGTAGGAGGGACACACACATTACCCCGTGAAACACTGGCTGGGGTGGCCAAGGGAGTCGTTTTGCCACCCCTCTCAACCCAAGCAACACAGCTCACAGCTCCAGGAGAAGCTCCTTCTGCTTGAAGAGAGGAAAGGAAAAGGTATAAAGGACTTTGTCTTGCAACTTACATACCAGCCACAGTAGGGTAGGGCACCAGACAAAGTCCTGAGACCCCCATTACAGGCCCTCTCTCCAGGATGACATTTCTAAACATACCCTGGGCTGGAAGGAAACCCACTGCCTTGAAAGGAAGGGTCCAGACCTAGCAGAATTTATCACCTTCTGACTAAGAACTCTTGGGCCCTGAAAAATCAACAGTGGCATCCAGGCAGTACTTACTGTGGCCTTTGGGTGAGACTCAGAATTGTGCTGGCTTTAGGTGTGACCCAGAATGTTTGTAGCTGTGGTGGCTACTCAGAAGGACTCCTTCTTCCTGAGAAAAGGAGAGGAAACAGTAAAAGGAAATTTTTCTGGAAGCTTGGGTGCCAGCTTGGCCACAGTGGAGTAGAGCACTAAGCGTGTTCTTAGGGTCCCCAATCCCAGGCCTTGGCTTTTGGATGGCATTTCTGAACCTGTCCTAGGCCTGAGAGGAGACTACTTCCCTGAAGAGAGAGTCCCAGGAGTGACAATATTCATCTCAAACTGACTGAGGAGACCTTGGGCTCCTCAGTGAACATTAATGGTAGCCAGGCTGTATTTGCCATGACTCTGGGGCAGTGGTGGTCATGGGGAGAGATTCTTTTACTTGTAGAAAGAGGAGAGAAGAGTGGGAAGAACTGTGTCTTCCGGCTAGGATGTCAGCTCAGATTCAGTAGAATAGAGCATCAAGTAGATTTTTCAGGTTTTCAATTCCAGAGCCTGGGTCCTGAACTATAGGGGAACCTGCCCTGATATTCACGTAGGTTCTTTTCTATTTTCCTTAAGCATTGACCAGCTTGAGAAATAAAGGGACAGAGTACAAAAGAGAGAAATTTTAAAGCTGGGCATCTGGGGGATAGTCAGTAGGTTCCGTGATGCCCCAAAAGCCACAAAAACCAGCAATTTTTTATTAGGGAATTTCAAAAGGGGAGGGAGTGTGCAAATAGGTGTGGGTCACAGACATCAAGTACTTTACAATGTAATAGAATATCACAAGGCAAGTGGAGGCAGGGTGAGATCACAGGACCACAGGATGGAGGCAAAATTAAAATTGCTAATGATGTTTCGGGCACCATTGTCATTGATAACATCTTATCAGGAGACAGCGTTTTGAGAGCAACCAGTCTGACCAAAATTATTAGGTGGGAATTTCCTCTTCCTAATAAGCCTGGGAGTGCTATGGGAGACGGGGGTCTATTTCACCCCTGCAGCCTCGACCATAAGAGACAGCCACGCCCAGGAGGGCTGTTCATAGGCCTACCCACAGGCATGCGTTCTCTTTCTCAGGGATGTTCCTTGCTGAGAAAAAGAATTCAGTGATATTTCTCCCATTTGCTTTTGAAAGAAGAGAAATATGGCTCTGTTCCGCCCGGCTCACCGGCGGTCAGAGTTTAAGGTTATCTCTCTTTTTTCCTAAACATTGCTGTTATCCTGTTCTTTTTTCAAGGTGCCCAGATTTCATATTGCTCAAACACACATGCTGTACAATTTGTGCAGTTAATGCAATTATCACAGGGTCCTGAGGTGATGTACATCCTCCTCAGCTGACAGGATTAAGAGATTAAAGTAAAGACAGGCTTAGGAAATCACAAGGATATTGATTAGGGAAGTGATAAGTGTTCATGAAATCTTTACAATTTATGTTTTAGAGATTGCAGTAAAGACAGGCATAAGAAATTATAAAAGTATTAATTTGGGGAACTAATAAATGTCCATAAAATCTTCACAATCCACTTTCTTCTGCCATGGCTTCAGCCGGTCCCTCCTTTTGGGGTCCCTGACTTCCCGCAACACTGAACAACATTGCCGGACTTGCCCAAGACTAGGGGAAACTTGCTGCCCTGAAAGGAAGGGGACAGCTTGGCTGGGTTTGCCACATGATGGTTACAGAGCCCGTGGGCCTTCACCAATCATAGGCCAGGCAATGCTTAATACTGGCTTTGGATGAGACCCAGTGCGATTCTGGCTTCAGGTCTGACACAGTATAATCCCAGTGGTGGTGTCCACAGGGTTGCTTGTGTCAACCCTACCCCAGCTCCAGGCAGCTCAGCACAGAGAGAGACACTGTTTAGGTGAAAGGAAAAGAAGAAAACAAGATTATCTAACTGGTAACCAGGTAATTCTTCCAGATGTAATCAAAGACCACTAAGATTGTGCATCTTAAAATCTGCAAGATCCACAGTGCTGCTGAGCTTGGGGTGACCCCTAATGCAGATATGACTGCAGTGACACAATACCCAAGTTCCTTAAAATATCTGTAAATGTTTCCCAAGAGGAACAGGTACAAACAAGCCCAGCCTGCAAAGACTATAATAAATACCTAACTCTTCTATACCCAAGCAGAAATTCTGAAGTTGAAAATGACATCCTGAAGAATCCATGAAAGACACTTAACAGCAGAATTGATCAAATAGAAGAAAAAACTGGTGAGCTTGAATACAGACATGCTATTTAAAAATACACAGAGGAGACAAAAAATATAAGAATGAAGTATGCTTATAAGATGTAGAAAATAGCCTTAAAAGGACAAATCTAGTATTGGCCTTAAAGAGGAGGTAGAATAGTGCTGCAATAAACATACATGTGCATGTGTCTTTATAGCAGCATGTTTTATAATCCTTTGGGTATATACCCAGTAATGGGATGGCTGGGTCAAATGGTATGTCTAGTTCTAGATCCCTGAGGAATCGCCACACTGACTTCCACAATGGTTGAACTAGTTTACAGTCCCACCAACAGTGTAAAAGTGCTCGGCACTATTCACAATAGCAAAGACTTGGAACCAACCCAAATGTCCAACGATGATAGATTGGATTAAGAAAATGTGGCACATTTACACCATGGAATACTATGCAGCCATAAAAAATGATGAGTTCATGTCCTTTGTAGGGACATGGATGAAGCTGGAAACCATCATTCTCGGCAAACTATCACAAGGACAAAAAACCAAACACCGCATGTTCTCACTCATAGGTGGGAGTTGAACAATGAGAACACATGGACACAGGAAGGGGAACCTCACACACCAGGACCTGTTGTGGGGTGGGGGAAGTGGGGAGGGATAGCATTAGGAGATATACCTAATGTTAAATGAAGAGTTAATGGGTGCAGCACACCAACGTGGCACATGTATACATATGTAACAAACCTGCACGTTGTGCACATTACCCTAAAACTTAAAGTATAATAAAAAACATAAATAAATAAATAAAGAGGAGGTAGAGAGAGAAAAGTAAAAGGTTTTTTCAAAGAAAAAATGAGAATGTCCCAAACCTAAAGAAAGGCATCAATATTCAGCTACAAGATGGTTCTAGCACACCAAGCAGATTTAACTCAAATAAGATGACTACAAGACATTTAATAATGAACGTTCCAAGGGTCAAGGATAAAGAAATAATCTAAAAGCAGCAAGGGAAAAGAAACCAATAATATACAATGGAGCTTCAATATGTCTGGCAGCAGACTTTGTGGAAACCTTACAAGCCAGGAGGAGTGAGTGGCTTGACATGATTGAAGTTCTGAAGAAAAATATTTTATCCTTGAATAGTATATCCAGTAAAAATATCCTGCAGTTTTGAAGGAGAAATAAAGATATTCCCAGGTTAACAAAAGCTGAGAAATTTCATCAACACCAGACCTGTCCCACATGAAATGCTTAAAAAAGCTCTTCAATCTGAAAGAAAATGATGTTAATGAGCAATAAAAAAATCATCTGAAGGTTCAAAACTCACTGGTAATAGTAAGGACACAGAAAAACACAAAATATTATAACACTGTAATCGTGGTATATAAAATAGTCATATCATGAGTAGAAAGATTAAAGGCGGCTGATCAAAAATAATAACCACAACAATTTTTCAAGACATGGACAATACAATAGGATATAAATAGAAGCAACAAAAAGTTAAAAAGTGGGAGATGAAGTTAAAATATAGTTTGTATTAAGTTTCTTTGTTTTTTTTTTATTTTGCTTATGCAAATAGTGATAGTTGTCAAGAGTTTAAAATAATGGGTTATTAGGGGTTTTTTACAGCCTCATGGTAACCACTCCCCCCCCCAAAAAAAACCACAGATACAACAAAAAATTAAAACATATTGCCAAAAGAAACTACCTTCAGTTAAATGAAGATGAGAAGGAAGGAAAAAAGGAAAAAACCACAGAAAAAAACAGAAAACAAATAACAACATTGCAAGAGTGAGTCCTTACTTATCCATAGTAACATTGAGTATAAATGAACTAAATTCTCAAATTAGAAGACATAGAGTAGCTGAATGGATACATACTCAAGACCAAATAATTTGTTGCTTAAAATAAATGCACTTCACCTAGAATGACACATATAGACTGAAAATAAAATGATGTAAAATATACTTCATGGAAATGGAAACCAAAAAATAGAGCAGCTGTGCCTACATCAGACAAAATAGATTTCAAGCAAAAAACTGTAAAAAGAGACAAAGGAGGTTATTATATAATGACAACAGGTCAATTAAGTAAAATAATGGAACCATTATCAATATCTATGCAGTCAACACTGGGGCATCAAGATATATTAAGCAAATACTATGAGAGATAAAGAGAGAAATAAACTACAATACAATAAAGCCTGGAGACTTCAACACTCCATTTTCAGCACTGGACAGATATTCTGGCCAAGTAAATCAACAAAAAAACTTGGAATTAATCTGCAGTATAGACCAAATAGGCATAAGAGATATTTACACATCATTTTATCCAACAGCTACAGAATACACATTATTCCTTTCAGCACATGCAACATTCTCAAGCACTGACCATATGTGAGGCCACAAAACAAATCTTACATAATTCAAAAAAGTTGAAAACATATCAAGTATCTTCTCTGACTACAATGGAATAAAACTAGAAATCAATACCAAGGAACATTTTGAAAACTATAAAAACATTGAAAATTAAACAATATACACCTGAATAACAGTGGGTCAATGAAGAAATTAGGAAGGAAATTTAAAAATTTCTTGAAACAAATGAAAACACAATATATCAAATCCTATGAGATGCAGTAAAAGCTGTACTAAGAGGAGAGTTTACAGCTATGTATCACTTATGAAAGTAGAAACACTTCACATAAACAGCCTAGTGATGTGTTTTAAAGAACTAGAGGCCAGATGCGGTGGCTCACGCCTGTAATCCCAGCACTTTGGGAGGCTGAGGTGGGTGGATCAAGAGGTCAGGTGTTCAAGACCAGCCTGGCCAAGATGGTGAAACCCCGTCTCTACCAAAAATACACAAATTATCCAGGCCTGGTGGTGGGTGCCTGTAATCCCAGCTACTCACGAGGCTGAAGCAGAGAACTGTTTGAATCCAAGAGGCAGAGATTTCAGTGAGCTGAGATTGTGCCACTGCACTCCAGCCTGGGTGGCAAAGCGAGACTCCATCTCAAAAAAAAAAAAAAAAAAAAGAACTAGAAAGGGCCTGACATCGTGGCTGACCCCTCTAATCTCAGAACTTTGGGAGGAAGAGGCAACAATCACCCATCTGAGACTTCAACAGGTCATAATCTGTTTGCTGTTGGAGGGTCTTGCCTCAAATATTAGTAGCTGGTGACTTATCAGGATCATGGTTGCTGAAGTTTGTGGTGGCTGTGGAAGTTGCTAAGTTGCTTACAATGAGGCAGAAGTGACGCTTGCCATATCAATTGACCCTTTTTTTAAATAAAATTTCTCTGTAGCATGTGATACAATTTCATAGCATTTTACCCTCAGTATTTACCCTAAAAATTGGAATCAATCCTCTCAAGCCTTGCTGCTGCTTTCTCAAGTAAGTTTATATAATATTCTAAATCCTTGGTTGTCATTTCAACAAGGCTCACAACATCTTCACTGGGAGTAGATTTCATCTCAAGAAACCACTTTCATTGCTTGTCCATAAGAAGCAACTCCTCATACATTAAACTTTTATGAGATTGCAATAATTCTGTTACAGCTTAAGGTTTCACTTGTAACTCTAGTTTCTTTGCTATTTCCATCATATCTGAAGTTACTTCCTCCTCTGAAGTCTGGAATTCTTCAAAATCATTCAAGAGTGCTGAAATCAACTCGTTGCAAACTCTTGTTGATATTGATATTTTGAATTCCCATGAATCACCAACATTCTTAGTGGCATCTAGAATGCTTCTTTTCATAACATTGTAAATTTACTTTGCCAAAATCTATCATAGAAATCACTCTCCATGGCAGCTAATGCCTTATGTGGAATATTGCCTAAATAATAAGACTTGAAAGTCTAAATGATTTCCTATTCCATAAGCTGCAAATTGGATGTTGTGTTAACAGGTATGAAAACAAAATTAATCTCCTTGAACATCTCTGTCAGAGCTATTGGGTGACCAGACACATTGTCAACGAGCAGTAATATTTTGAAAGGAATCTTTTCTGAGTAGATCTCAACAATGGGCTTAAACTACTCAGTAAACTATTCTGTATGTGATGTGATGCCATGTCATGTCAATGAGACTTTGTTGTTCCATGTATGGCGCACAGGCAGAGTACATTCAGAATAATTCTTCTTAAGGGACCTAGTATTTTCAAAATGGTAAATGAGCTTTTGCTTCAACTTAAAGTTGCAAATTGCATTAGCTCCTACCAAGAGAGTCAGTCTGTCCTTTGAAGCTTTGACCCCAAGAACTGACTTCTCCTCTCTAGTTATGATTATTATATTCTACATTAAAAATTTGTTATTTTTTGGCTTTTTACTAATAGCCATTTTGACTGGTGTGAGATGGCATCTCATTGTGGTTTCGCTTTTCATTTCTCTAGTGATCAGTGGTATTGAATTTTTTTTTCATATGCTTGTTGGCTGCATGTATGTCTTCTTTTAAAAGTGACTGTTCATGTCTGTTGTCTACTTTTTAATGGGGTGTTTGTTTTTTCTTGTAAATTTAAGTTCCTTATAGATGTTGGATATTAGATCTTTTTCAGATACATAAATTGCAAATCTTTCCCCATTCTGTAGATTATCTGTTTACTCTGTTGATAGTTTATTTTAATATGCAGAAACTCTTAAGTTTAATTAGATATTATTTGTGAATTTTTGCTTTTGTTGCAATTGCTTTTGGTGTCTTTGTCATGAAACCTATGCCCATCCCTAGGTGGTCTTCAAGGGTTTTAATCCATCTTGAGCTGATTTTTGTATATGGTGTAAGGAAGGAGTCCAGCTTCAATCTTCTGCATATGGCTAGCTAGTTAACCCATCACCATTTATTGAATAGGGAGTCTTTTCTCCATTGCTTGTTTTTTGTTAGTGTTTTTGAAAATCATATGGTCATAGGTGTGCAACCTTATTTCTGGGCTCCCTATTCTGTTCCATTGGCCCGTGTGACTGTACTTGTAACAGTACCATGCTGTTTTGGTTACTGTAAGCCTGTAGTATGGTTTGAATTTGGGTAACGTGCTGACTCCAGCTTTCTTTCTTTTGCTTAGAATTGCATTGGCTATTTGGGTAATTTTTTGGTTCCATATGAATTTTAAAATAGTTTTTCTAGTTCTGTAAATGTCCGTGGTAGTTTGATAGAAATATCTTTGAATCAGTAAATTGCTTTGGGCAGTATAGCCATTTTAGTGATATTGAATCTTCTTATCCATGAGCATAAGATGGTTTTCCATTTATTAGTGTCTTCACTAATTTTTTGTTTTTTAGCAGTGTTTTGTAATTCTCACTGTGGAGATCTTTCACCTCCCTGGTTAAATGTATTCCTAGGTATTTTTTTTCTTTTTCTGGCAATTGTAAATGAGATTGCCTGCTTTATTTGGCTCTTAGCTTAACTGTAGTTGGTATATTGAAATGCTAGTAATTGTTGTATGTTGATTTTGTATCCTGACACTTTGCTGAAGTTGTTTATCAGCTGATGAAGCTTTTGGGTTGAGACTATGGGGTTTTCTAGATATAGAATCATGTTATCTGCAAACAAGTATAGTTTGACTTCCTTGCTTCCTATTTGAATATGCTTTATTTCTTCCTCTTGCCTGATTGCTCTGGCAAGGACTTCCAATATTACGTTTAATAGCAATGGTGAAAGAGGGCATCTTTGTCTTGAGCGAGTTTTCAAGGGGAATGCTTCCAGCTTTTGTCCATTCAGTATGATGTTGGTTGTGGGTTTGTCATAGATGGCTCTTAACATCTTGAGGTATATTCCTTCAATGCCTAGTTAATCGAGAGTTTATAACATGAAGGAATGTTGAGTTTTATTGAAGTCCTTTTCTGTATCTATTGAGATAATGTTGTGATTTTTAGTCTTGAGTTCTTTTTATGTGATGAATCACTTTTATTGATTTGCATATGTTGAACCAGGTTTGCATCCCAGGGATGAAGCCTATTTGATAATGGTGGATTAGCTTTTTGATGTGCTGCTGGATTTGATTTGCAAGTATTTTCTTGAGGATTTTTGCATTGATGTTCATCAAGGATATTGCTCTGAAGCTTTCATTTTTGTTCTGTCTTTGTCAGGTTTTGGTATCAGGATGATGATGCTGGTCTAATAGAATGAGTTGGGGAGGAATCTCTCCTTTTCAATTTTTTTGAAATAGTTTCTGGAGGGATGGTACCAGCTCTTCTTTGTACATCTAGTGGAATTCAGCTGTGAAACTATCTGATTCTAGTTTTGTTTTGTTTTTTTTTTCTTTTTGGTTGGTAAGCTGTTTATTACTGATTCAATTTTAGAGTTTATTATTGGTATATTCAGGGAGTCAATTTCTTCCTATTTCAATCTTTGGAGGGTGCATGTGTCCAAGAATTTATCCATGTCTTCTAGGCTTTCTAGTTTGTATACATGGAGGTGTTTATAGTAGTTTCTGATGGTTATTTTTATTTCTGTTGGGCCAGTAGTAACATCCCCTTTGTCATTTCTAATTGTGTTTATTTGTATATTCTCTTTTTTCTTCTGAATTCACCTAGCTAACAGCCTATTTATTTCATTATTTTTTTCAGAAAAACAACTCCTAGATTTGTTGGCCTTTGGAATAGTTTTTCATATCTCATTTTTCTTCATTTTAGCTCTGATTTTGGTTATTTCTTGTCTTGTGGTAGCTTTGAGGTTGATTTGTTCTTGCTTCCCTAATTCTTTCACTTGTAATGTTAGGTTGTTAATTTGAGGTCTTTCTAACTTTTCGATATGGGCATATAGTGCTATGAATTTTCCTCTTAACACTGCCTTAGCTGTGTCCCAAAAATTCTGGTTTGTTGTATCTTTGTTCTTATTAGTTTCAAAGAACTTATTCATTTCTGCCTTATTGTATTACTTGTCCAAAAGTCATTCAGGAGCAGGTTGTTGAATTTCCATATAATTGCATGGCTTGGGGTGATTTTCTTATTCTTGACTTTGACTTTCATTATATTGGGGTCCAAGAATGTGTTTTGTGATATTTTTGTTCTTTTTCATTTGCTGAGGATTGTTTTATGTCAAATTATGTGGTCAATTTCAGAGTATATGCCATGTGGCAATGAGAAGGATGTATATTTTGTTGTTTTTTGTGTGGAGAGTACTGATAGAAAGCTGTCATACACATTTGGTCTAATGTTGATTTTAGGTCCTGAATATCTTTGTAATTTTCTGCCTCGATGAACTGTCTAATACTGTCAATGGGGTGTTGAAGTCCCCCACTATTATTGTATGGGAGTCTGTGTCCCTTTGTAGATTCCTAAGAACTTTCTTTATGAATCTATGTGCTCCTCCTGTGTTGAGTACACATATAATTAGGATAGTTAGGGTTCTTATTGAACACTTTACCATTATGTAATGCCCTCTTTGTCTTTTTTGATCTTTGTTTTAAAGTCTGTTTTGTCTGAAATTAGGATTGCAACCTATGCTTTTTAATATTTTTTTTGTTTTTGTTTTTGTTTTAATTTTGAGCCCATGGGTGTAATTATGTGTGAGATGGGCCTTGAAGACATCTGGCAAGGTTGTGGAGAAAAGGGAACACTTATACACTGTTGGTGAGAATGTAAATTAGCTCAACCATTGTGGAAAACAGTATGGTGATTCCTCAAAGAGCTATGAACAAAACTACCATTTGACCCAGCAATCCCATTACTACGCATTTACCCAGAGAAATATACATCATTCTACCACAAACATGCATGTGAATGTTCCTTGTGGCATTATTTACAATAGCAAAGACATGGAATCAACTTAATCCATGGAATTAACATTTATCCAATCAATGTTCTATTAGGTAAAGACAATGTGGTACATATATACCATGGATTACCATGCAGCCATAAGAAAGAATAAAATCATGTCTTTTGCAAGAACATGGATGGAGCTGGAGGCTGCTATCCTTTACCAGCATGGGAACAGAAAACCAAATACCACATATTCTCACTTCTAAGTGGGAGCTAAGTTATAAGAACTCATGAGCACAAAGAAGGGAACAACAGACACTGGAGTCCACTTGACGGTAGAAGGTTGGAGGAAGGAGAGGAGCAGAAAAAATATATATTGGGTATTAGGCTTCATACCTGGGTGATGAAATAATCTATACAGTAAACCCCTATAACACAAGTTTACCTGTATAACAAACCTTCACATGTCCCTGCTAGCCTAAAATAAAGGTTATAAAAAGAAAATTTGTTGTTTAGTGTAGCCACCTTCATCAATTATCTTAGCTAGATCCTCTGGATAACTTCCTTCAACTTTTCATCAGCACTAGAAGCTTACCTTGTATTTTTATATTATGGATGTGACATCTAATGTGGTTAGGCTTTATGTCCCCAAGCAAATCTTATTTTGAATTGTAACCTCCATAATTCCCATAATCACCACATGTCAAGGGAGAGATAAGGTGGAGGTAATTGAATCATGTGGGCAATGTCCCGCACACTAGTCTCTTGATAGTGAATGAGTTCTCACAAGATCTGATGGTTTTATATGGCACTTCTCTTTTCTGCTGCCCTGTGAAGAAGGTGCCTTGCTTCTTCTTTGTTTTCTGCCATGTCTGTAAGTTTCCTGAGGACTCCCCAGCCATGCTGAACTGTGAGTCAATTAAACTTCTTTTCTTTATAAATTACCCAAACTCAAACAGTTCTTTATAGCAGTATGAAAACAAATTAATACAATGTCTTTCTTTATACCCTGTGAACTAACTTTATTTACTTCCAACTTTTCCTCTGCAGCTTCCTCATCTGTCTCAGTTATCACAGAACTGAAAAGACTTAGGGTCTTACTCTGGACTAGGCTTTGGCTGAAGAGAATAAGGATCTATAACAGATATGCTAATAATGAAAAGGTTTGAAGTACTGCAAGAATTACCAAATGTGAGGTACAGAGATATAAATTGAGCACATGCTGTTGGAAAAATTGTGCTGATAAACTTTCAAGATGCAGTCTTGCCACAAACTTTCAATTTGTAAAATACATAATATCTGGGAAGCACAATAAAGCAAAGTATTATAAATGTAGCTGTCAAGCAAAACTGAATTAGAATTTATAACATGTTTCCTAAATTCATTCCATATATTTAATGTAACTAGGTAAAGTTATGTTAAATTGTGAGGTATGAGTTTATCAGTAGTGGCATGAAATAATGAACATGTGCATTCATAATTGGACAAAAATACTTACATTTCAACAGTATAATCTTATTTTTACAATGAATTTTTAAACAACTTAAAAAGACATGTCAAGAAACCCAGGCAGTATTCACAATTCCTCCCTCCACATGCTCAGTCTATCTCCTGCTTATCTTATACTCTGAATACTACTATTTTATGCTTAATTTACACAAATCTTTGGGTTCCTTGGTAATCCTTACCTTTGCTATAAACTTTTGCTCTATAACTTCTGCTAGGAATATTCTCATCTCCTCTTTCCCTCTTTATGCTAAGCCCATTTATCCTAAATTTCCCTTATTTCAGACACTTCTTCTCAAATATCATTACTAACCATATATCATTATTAACCCCTACAATACACAATGTATTAAGCCCCCAGAAAACTATGATCACCTATATATTGTGCATTGGAATTGCATTTTTTACGTTAGACTTAGAATATATTACACCAGTAGTTTCTAAGTTTCTTTATGTCAAACAACACATCTAGCCTGTTCAACTTTGAAATTCTCAGTACTTGGTATGGAGCTCAACAAATTTGTATTTGTTGTTTGTTACTTGAACAGCAGATAAACCATGTAAAATTATGTAATAAACATATATTGTATATGAGATCTCTTGATTTCAAGAAATGTGTTGGGGATAAAATATTTATAAGAAAAATCTCACTTAGATCTTACAACTAAGAATGACTGACTAGGTAGGGAGTAATCATGGTCAATACTCCATTCCTCTTCTAGATAGTTGTCTAGAGGCACTGGTGAATTTGATATATGAATTCAAGTGACCTTTAAATAACTTCAAAAATATAGTCAACAAAATAAATATTAATAAAGTTACAGTAATCCTTTATAAGTAACTTTACATTTACTGAAATGTAACCAAAGGCTGCAAAATGACATTTTAATTTTGCCATCAAGTATATCATTACTTGTTTACTAAAAGTTGTTTTAAAGATTCTCTTCCTTTCATTTACACTGAGGCACTAGTAAAATCTTTTTACTTTTGTTGAACAAATATGATTATTTGTTTCACCTTTTGACCAAATATTCTAATCTTATCTGAGATTATGATTAATATTAATCAAAATTATGAATCAGCACCCCCTCTCCCCTAAGTCTGTTTTTCTTAGAAATAGCTGTTGTGCACAAAGGATCAATTTAGAGCCAATAGAAGCTTCCTCCACCTTAGCTGTTTCAGGTGGGCATGGATAAGTTCTCTGCTTCCTCTCTTTCAGATTTTTTCATGGATCTGCAGATTTCATACCACATACAAATAATGTCTTATTTCAGCCTGTCCAGGTTGATGCTTTTGTTTCTTTTTACTCCTATTTTTAGTTCTTTCTTTTCATTATAACCCTACAGAGGAGTGACTTACAGACACTGTCTATTGCAACCAAAATTCTCAAAATTTTAAGTTTGATTTATATGAGTAAAACCTTAGAATATTACAAAGGTAAAATCGTAGTTGTAAAGGTACAATGGTTTGGATGTAAAATTATCATGTGGCACATTTCACTTGTAAATAGGTTCAGCATGATCCCCTGCCTCAAATTTAAAAGATAACAAATGTATTGTTGGCATATGTAGACTTTCAGTAAGAATTTATTTTTTAAAAAAGCTATTTATAAACTTAAAGAGCTTGATGGATAGGAATCTGATCTCATTGTATATGTTTAATACACAGAGGTAGAGAAAATGAAAAGATTCAATTCAGGAAGCTCAAAGGAGATATATCCAACACATAGAAAAGCAATAGAAGAAAAGAACTGCAAATGGTGTAGAGAGATTCCTGAAAGAAGCTTTGCTCATTGTCACTTTATACTTTAGGAAAGGCTATCTTGCCTGACTCTTAACAGGCTACCTTACCTCTAAATCCCATGTTGCCATATTAAAGAGCACCTAGTATTACTCCTGGTCCTAGAGCAAAATCTTGCACTCTGTCACCTAGCTAAGGTTGCTTTATCATCGACTGTGCTTTGTGGTAGAGCTTTTGTATTTTTACTCAGTATTGAATTTTCAGCACCTAGAATCTTGTTTTAACATGTCACTGATTGCAGAGAATAAATAACTAAATAAACAAAGCATCAAGTATTTGTAGTAGGTTAGCAAGAGAAAGAGCAGGAGAAGCAGTCTAGGAAAAAATAATCCTAACTTGGGGTACCTGTTTCCTAAGGGTAACCTGCTAGTGTCATGAAGGCACCTGGCAAACAGAATATATATACTGTTTTATCCCACTTATACCCTTAAGCTCATCTCCTGTTTTGCAACCCAGAGTGTACTTATAAATAAGTTCTCATGGATCTCCCAATTTGTAAACTTTGGATTGTTTCTTCAGTCTACTCTGACCAAAAATATATTTCCCCTCACAAAAATCAGAAAAAGATAAATTTGTTTAGTCTATCACCCCATCCATATAATCACAATTACAGATTCAGCCTCTTCTCATCTCAACTGGTATTTGACATCATGCAGTATAACATAGAACATCTTCACTAAGTAAAAGCCCTGACTCTGTAGTTTGGATCTGGCACCAGCATTAACTAGCTGTGCGACTTGCAGGGAGTCAGTAACCTCACTTTACTATTGTCTAGTACTCTGTTTACTCATGCCTAAAACAGCGATAATAGTAGTAGCAAAAGTTGTGAGGATTAAATAAATATAAATTAAGGGCCAGTGACTGTAGCATACAAAGAACTATAGAGATGATTAAAACAATTTATCAAAACAGTGAGAGTGCTTTCAATGACCTATTACCTCATTTCCAACCTGCTGTTTAAAATGCTTGTAATGTGACTTTCTACTACTATCCTAACTTTTGCCTTGATCTCCTAGATCTTTAGTTTTCAGAAACTTTATTCCTTAAAACATGTGCCACTGTTGACCACTTTCTTGACTCTTTCTCCTTATATCTGTAAGCATTTGATTCTCCTGGCAGCACTACCTCTCAGCTATTCCTGCCACTTCCTCTCTGTTCTCTTCTAACTTTCACTTTATCCAAATACAGTTTCCCTAAGTTTCTGTAATTCACCTTCTCCTTGTTTACATATTTTTCTTCCATCCAATTTATGACCTTAAATTTAATATTAAATGTTAAACATATTTAATAACACAAATATCATATAGCTATCCTTCAAAAATACTAGAATATTACACACAATACATAAGTTGTCTGATAACTTCCCTTAGTCCCAGCTCCTTTTGTTCTCCTCCAAAAGGCAATACATTTTCTAATCAGTTACATAACTATACAAAACGTATGTTATCTTTATGTTTTATTTGTATATAAATTACCTCAAATTGTACCGTTATTTACCTTGTTTTACATACAACAAATGATTACAAGGACTACCTATAATGGTAGAATATCTCCTTTTTCCTCATATGTAATGTCCTCTTCTTATCTATATCACATTTTATTTAACTCTTTCCTCTTGATAAGCATTTAAGTGATGATTAACATTTCTGTTACAAAATAATTCATGATTAACTTTTTACATTTTTCTTACTAATTTGCATGTTATTTTGCTAGGAGATGCAGTAAAATTCAATAATTTTTTTTTGTTAATTTTGAGTTTTACAACTTACTTAGAAAAGCCTTGTCAATTTTGAGATTAAAAGTGTTGATTCCCCTTATTTTTATTTAGTATAATTAAGCCTTTGATCATTTTGGAATTTTTGTTGTGGTGGTGGTGGTTCTAACAAGTGAAGTAAGGATCTAATATTTTACATATGCTTTTTCTACATGGGTATTTAATTGTTTCTTCAATAATTGCTATAATATTCAAAACCTACTTGTAACATACTACATACTCTATGAACTGGGCTGTATTTCTGAACTCTTGCTCCTCTCATAATTCTACATTTTCAGAATTTGTTTACCTTTTTATATTCAGTCTTCTATCAGCATGCTATGTGTATAAACATTCTTGATATTTTCATTGGAATTGTATTACATGTATAAAATGATTTGAATATATCTGGTGTATCTATTCTACACAAACTATGTGTTTCCATTGTTTGAACTATTGTTGAGTTCCTGAATTTCACCTCAGTGTGTGTGTATGTGTGTGATTTTATATAGCTTGCTCAGTCTTTTAAAATTTATTTTAGGTAACTGTATTTTTCATCATGCTATTGAAAAAGGAGTCTTCTTATTCATTATGTTGAATTACTAATTATTTTATATAGAAATGCTATTGCTTTTTAATTATTTTTATTTTAACCCATATATCCTGCTTTTAATAATAGCTTTCAAAATTTTTCTTGAATTTTTCAGATTATCAATTATATCACTATAATCATAAATTTACTTACTGTTCTTTTTTTAAAGCTTTTATTTCTTTCTTTAGCTTCAAAATATGTATTCATATCTCTATTAATTTATACTGAAGGTTTTTGAAATTTATGTCTTACACCTGAACATTATGAGAATATTTAGTTTTTTGATTAACATCTATCTACATAAAAATAGATATTGACATAGTTGTAACAAATATTTTGACTCTATTGCTGATGTTTTACCGCTAAAAGCATTAAAGCTGAATCACTCCATCTCTTCTTCTGAGCAAGCTGATTTAAAAAAAAATCTGAGCAAATTGATTGAAAAAAAAAAAAAAAAAGAAAAAGCCTGTGCACTGCTGCTCTGGGCACTGGTGAGAAGTCTAATCCACACAAGCCTGGTCCTATACATGAATGTGAAACCTCACCCCTTAACCCAGTAAATAACCAAGACAGTTAAAGCTAAATTGGGTCTAAAGCCTGACCCCATTAATACAGTGTATTCTTATTGCTCCTGCTCATTCTCTTGTTATTTTTAAGTCTGCTTAGAAGTCTTCCCAGATCTTCTTGGAAAACCTCACTCTGCTATAAATTTATTGTGTGTGTGTGTGTGTGTGTGTGTGTGTGTGTGTGTGATCATCTGTCTTGACATATGAACTACTTTTGAATGAGAAAACCATTCTGCCTCTGCGGTGTGACCACAACAATAATTACTGATAATTTATATTGATATCAAGATAGAATTAATTATTTCACATTAAAATGTGTGTTTGTTCCTATGCTATTGAGTTATCAATTATTGAATCTTATTAAATTACTTTTTAACATATATTGAGATGATTTTGTTTTCATTTTAGCCAGATAATATGGTTAATTATATGAATTACACTTACCAGGAATCTAAGGATAGTTTATCACTTGAAAAAAGTTTCATATATTTAGCCATACTATTAAATTTTTAAAAATTTAAATCACCAATTACTTTTAATATGATTCTGGATTGTATAGTTTTCTCTGGATAAACTTATAAATTACTCAAGATCTCTCAAACAAAAGACAAAAATATTTTTTCTCTTTAAATACTTATATGCATATATTAAGTTTTAAATCTACTAAACTACATAAGTAAATTTAAAATCATTTTTAAAGGCACTTAGACTGTAATTTATTATGAGTATAATATTTATATTTATCGCAATTACTGATTTGTTTAAAGTCACTTGTAACATAGCATTTTGTGATCTATAGACACCTTGCTTTCCCTTTATTTCTTTATTCCTCATGTCCTGAATTTTTTGGATGTATGTTGCATTTTAAAATTTGTGTTTTTTTCTTTTCATTATTTGAAATTGTTACACGAAGCTTCTGTGATTTATATTCTTCAGATTTTTAGCATATGTGATTTAGGTTATATTTTCCTGATAATGTATAGTGTCATTTAGTGTCTATAAATTTTATATTCATTTCTTCAAAAATGTCTTTACTCCCAGTATTTATTTATAAAATTCTATCTACCAACTAGGTAACTCCAATAAGGAATTCTGACAACACACAAACACATTATGACCATTATAGGTTTACTCATGACCTCTCTTAAATAAGCCTAGGTACAGTTGTTTCTAGGAATCAAATGTATAAACCTTTAGTTTTTCTCTTCTAAATACACACAAATTTTACTTTTTCCTCAGTTATTTTTTCTTATTATTTCTGTTTTCCACTTGTTAACCAATACTATTCTAACATTTCAACCAGAATATTTCGAAACCCTAAAACACTTGTTAACTTAAAATATTTCACATTCCTTTGACAGTTGCTATAGTCCTAGTTACTGTCCCACAGTTTTAGAAAATGTCTTCAAATTGCTCATATAAAGTTGTATCACTTGTTTGAGATGTTTTAAATTCTTTTAGGAGTTTATTTAGAGAGTATTATGTAAATCCTATATCTTCTGTTCAAGGATCTCTAATCATTTTCTATAGCAGTTAAAATATATTCCAAATTTATGTTTATAAATTTGCAATTATCTGCCCTTCTAAATGTGTAAGAGTGACAAAATACATTTAAAATAATTAGTGAATAAAAATAATCTCAGATAGAAACTTGTCATAGTAAGTAAATTAAACAGTGTCATGAATAGACACTCATTGAATGTAATGGGTTATCTAGAATGATTATATTAAATTAGTGATTTAGTAGATGGCAGGTATTTTATGGTTGTTTGGAAAAGATAACACTTGTGAGGAAACGATTTTATATCTGAGAAGAGCCAGGAATTTAAAGTTTTACAAACAGGTTACACCAAGTGAAAGGAAGAAAGAAGTTCAAAGACATGTTAGAAACAAGTTTAGTCAGTACAAAGGATAGAAAAAAGACTAGTTCAATAGTATGGGATGAATTCAACATCCAACTGTAAAGATGTGACAATGACGATTAGTATATGAATAATATTGAATACCAGAAAATAATTAAAAAGAATCACAAATATTATATTCCCTGGCATCGTGTATTAGTCCTCTCAGGCTGCCGTAAGAAAATACCACAGACTGGGTAGATTAAGCAAAATAAATTCATTTTCTCACAGTTCTGGATGCTGGAATTCCAAGATCATGATGCCAGCAGAGTTGGTTTCTGGTGAGGCTTCTCTCCTTGGCTTACAGATAGCAACTTCTTTCTGTGTTCTTGCGTGGTGTTTCTCTGTGTGCACACACACACACAGAAAGATATTTGGTGCTTCTTCCTCTTTTTATAAAGACACCGGTCCTGTTGGTTAGGGCTCCACCCTTATAACATTCTTTAAGCTTAATAACCTACTTAAAAGCCCTATCTCCAAATACACTGGAAGTTAGGGCTTCAACAAATGGATTAAATATGGGGGTTTGTGAGGAACACAATTCAGTCCATGATACATAGAGACAGTCATTGCTCTTTGATTTGTTGTATTTCCTTTCAATAGAGTCAAGCATCTATAAATCTATTAATCTATAAGAAAAATTAATAAGCTGAACCTGGCTCTTTTGTAGAGAATATAGAGAGAGTGATGAGAAGCACAGCAATTTAAAGAGAGGGTGTTCAAACTGAAGGGGGAGCTGTCACTCAATTATTGTGGATTATTGCCATAGAGGGAAAGTTCAGTGTTTACCCTATATCCAGTTCTTGGGAGATGTTGTGGCATAATTTTAAAGTATACACACATAATTATATATGCATGCTTTTCTTTTAGAACTGTTATAATACAACTGGTAGGCAGTATGTGTTTTCAGCCTACAGCTGTATCTTATTAGACCAAGAGTACTTCTCTACTATTGTTTATATTTAGAACTGAGTTTTATTGTTCCTAGACTGTGTCATTAGAAATGGCTAGGTGAGATCTGTTCTTCTAGTGGACATGTATGACTTTTGCCACCCTTATATATTGTCCTTATTCTGATAAAAGTATTTAGAATATTCCAGATTTTTTAAACTGACATTGGTATTTACAGTATGAGTTATAATTCAATTAATAATTGAAACAAAAGAAGTGTATGAGCATTTCCATACTGCTGTAAAGAACTCCCTGAGACTGGGTAATTTATAAACAAAAGAGGTTTAACTGACTTACACTTCCACATGGCTGAGGAGGTCTCAGGAAACTTACAATCATCCCAGAAGGCGAATGGGAAGCAAGGCATATCTTATGTGGTGGAATGAGAGAAAGAGAGAGAGATGGGGAACTGCCAAACACTTTTAAACCATCAGAACTCATGAGAACTCACTCACTGTCATGAGAACAGCATGGGGAAAACTGTCCCCATGGTCCAATCACCTCCTACCAGGTCCCTCCCTGGACATGTGGGGATTATAATTCAAGATGAGATTTGGATCAGGACACAGAGCCAAATCATATCAAGAAGTAATGCAGAGGTAAACCAACAAGTCATTTTACAGTTGAAGTTTTTTAAGTTTGTTTTCTGTTCCATAGTCTGTCTTTCTCTTCTCTTTTTTCTTTCTTTCTTTCTTTCTTCCTTTCTTTCTTTCTTTCTTTCTTTCTTTCTTTTCTTTCTTTCTTTCTTTTCTTTCTTTCCTTTCTTTCTTTTTCTTTCTTTCTTTCCTTCTTTCCTTCTTTCCTTCCTTCCTTCCTTCCTTCCTTCCTTCCTTCCTTCCTTCCTTCCTTCCTTCCTTCTTTCCTTCCTTCTTTCTTTCTTTTTTCTGGTTTTACATTTCAGATATTTCAGGGAACACTGGCAGTGAACATGTGATTTAGTTAACATGTAAGTAAGAACATTTATTCACTGGCCATAATTATTTGTTCAGAGATAGTATGCATGTATTACCTGATTCATGTGATGAATTTCAATCGTAGGATTTTATTTAATTGTCTAGGAAGGAAATGTATGATTTTTAACTCTCAGGAAAATAAAATCTAAGTCAGAGAACAGGCATCAGGTTGAGAACCTCCCTGAGAGTAATGTCAACATAAAGGAAAGCAAAAACTAAAATGAGTCAGAGCAAGAGACAGACAGAGAAAGAGAAATTCTTAATCTCCTAATGCCATGGTATTAGGCATCACTATACTTTACATAAGACAATAATCAATACTTTAGATAAGACATATACTTTACATAGACATACACTTTACATAGACATATACTTTACAAGACAATACTTTACATGAGACATAATCTTCATCTAAGCCAGTTTTAGCTGGGGTTGTTACTGCGCACAGTGGGAATAGTTTCAATGAAATGCCGATCTAAATATAGAGCAGCTGTTTTCTAGGCCATAAATAAAACACAGTAAATGGATTACAAGTTAATTCTAAAGTTATGTTCTGTTTCTCAATATCTGCTTTTTCTATGCAATCATACTTTCTGGCTCCATCTTTTATCTGTAACCATTGCAGATAAACTCTAGCTTGTTGCACTATATATTTTTAGAACAATTTGGATAATGAAAATATATAATATAAAGAATAATTTAAAGGTTCTGAAATATTATCAATAATAAGACATTGATTATTTAACACTGACATAAAATGTGATTATTCTATATGAATTACTTTATTTTAAAAGAACTTCCACTATTCATATATATTCAGAAAATTATTTTACTATTGTTTATTTCACACATAATATGAATAATAAATGTTCACTTGACTAAATTTTATATTTGGCTTGTAATTGCAACGAATTTTGATACATTAACATTTAAATACTAATCTCTGACAAATCAATTTCATAGCAATTAATCCCTAAACTGCTAATTGACACTTGATATGTGTGTTAAGTGTTATAAACAGCATGGTAGCTTACATGCTAAATGTCAAATGTGTGTTTAAGTAAAATTTGTTAATAATAAATTAATTACATATTTAGTCCTTGCCATGTAATTTTAATGATATTAGATTCTTGTCTCAGGAACTTATTCCCATGAGTATTTTCAATAAAATGAAATCATTTTCCAGGTTATTTGTTTACTTATATTTAATTCTACTTGTACAATAAAAAGCTCCCTCTTTTCAAGGGATTATAGAATTAATATATTTTCTATTTTCTATAATTCCTGCATTAACTGTGTATGCATTTCTTTTATTGAAAGAATGGTAAACATTGTTAGCAAAAGAAAAAGTATGAAGAACTGACTTAGGAACTCTTAATCACTCATCTAGCAACCACAACTTCTTTATGAATACAGAGGTAAACAATTGATAAGTTCTAAATATGAGACAAGAACCAGAAAAATTGTAACATTAACAGGATAAAATAATGAAGTAAGTTGAAAAATAACAATTGCACTGTTTTCAAATAAATTTTTTTTGGTTAATTGAGTATGCTACTTAATTAGTAAATAGGATTTTTAAACTGATACATAGATTAATACAAAAGAAAAACCTTTTGAAGTTTACATTAGTAGTAAATTGTAATCTGTATTTCACTTTATGTTTGTCTCACTAAAAATCTCCTGTTATTTATATATCCCATGACACTAATGGAAAAAATATATTTTTTAATTTATTATATTTAAATATATTGACAAAACAGTATAGTAGTTATACTGTAAGTGTATCTACAAGCAATCTGATAATTTAATACTTCCCATGTAATCTCATTTAAAAACAAGACAGAGTAGGTGGGGAGTAACATTACATGTTATGACAATATTAAATACTGTAAGCAATATAACATCATAAGGATGAATTAAAATCGAATTACATTTAAGAAGAGCCAATCAATTTTGTAAGAAAAAAATGAGTTTTCAACATTTGATGCTTTAAGAAAAAGTCAGTACAAAATAAGAATACTGATGTGTCGTGGTTGAATTGTGGCTCCTCAAAATATGTCCACTCAGAAACTCAAAACATGACCTTATTCAGAATGAGGCTTTGTAGCTTCTAAGCATCCACTGATAAGAGATCATCCTGAAATAGGGTGGGGATTAAATCCAATGACAAGTACTCATAATAAGAGGAAGAACAGAAATAGGCACACAGAGAAATGATGACTATATAAAGATAGAGGCTGACTTATGTAGGCCTCAGTCAAGGAATGACAGGCATTGCCATGTCAGCCACCAGAAGCAAGGAGAGAAGCATGAAAAGGTGCCTCCCCTCTCAGCCTCCATAAAATCCAACCTTGGCAACAACTCGATTTCATATTTCTGTTCTCCAGATACTGAAAGAAGTTCTCTTTTAGAAGCCACCAAGTTAAAGGTAATTTTTTTTTTTATGGCGAGTTTGGAAACAACTACGGATTTATTATTTACTGGGAAATGTAATATGTAATTTAATATATGCTGATTATTGGAAATTTTTCTGAAAATTAATCAATTTGGGACATAAGAAAACACTGAAGAATATCAGCAATTAGCTAGCCTGAGCTACATAGCCAGACTCCATCTCCGTAAAAAATAAAAGAAAAATTAGCTAGCATCTTGACATGCAGCCCTAGCTACTCAGGAAGTTAATGCAAGAAGATGGCTTGAGACCAGGAGTTGGAAGCTGCAGTGAGCCATGAAGGCAACACCACACTTTAACATGAGTGACAGAGGGAGGCCCTTTCTAGAAAGAAAGAGAAAGAAAGAAAGAAAGAAAGAAAGAAAGAAAGAAAGAAAGAAAGAGAGAGAAAGAGAGAGAGAAAGAAGAAAAGAAAGAAAAGAAAGAAGAAAAATTTGTTTAATCAACAATTAAAACATAAAATGTTCTTCAAAATTAGCTAGAAAGATCATTAAGGAAAAGAAATAGTAGACTTTTCAAGTTCATAGCAAAATGGTCTCTAAAAAGATGCAAATTTACTGTAAAATTTGAGAAGTATGCAATAAGCAGGTGGAGGAACTGGATGGATGTTTTGAGGAAGAAAAAAATTATAACTGAAAAAAATAATAATGAAATAATCACACAGATAATAACATATTGGGAAATGGCAGATTTGGAAGCTCTGAGAGTTGATTCTTCCACCCAAACAACTCTTCATCTGGCAAGAACTGTCAGAATTAATTATTTTGGAACATTGGAGGAGTCTAGTTGAGCACTTGTAGCAAACAGATGACTCCTTCATAAAGAAAGAGACTGCTGGGCACGTGCCGTGGCTCACGCCAGTAATCCCAACACTTTGGGAGGCTGAGGCAGATGGATCACGAGGTCAGGTGTTCAAGACCAGCCTGACCAATATGATGAAACCCTGTCTACTAAAAATACAAAAATTATCCGGGCGTGGTGGTGCGTGCCTGTAATCCCAGCTACTCAGGAGGCTGAGGCTGGAGAATTACTTGAACCCGGGAGGCAGAGGTTGCAGCGAGCTGAGATTGTGCCACTGAACTCCAGCCTGGATGACAGAGCAAGACTCCATCTCAAAAAATAAATAAATAAATAAATAAATAGACTGAGCTACCAGCTACCATCCTCCATGCCCAAACTGTATGGCAGGCAGCTATGGGAATAATTCCAGCCTGGGGTGAAATATTGATGACAGGTTGGGCAATAATGACATTTTCCTACAAAAATTGGTGGTTTACTGAGGGACCAGCATGGAGCTGAGTATTGTTTCAACTCTCTTGGATGGAAGCAGTTTCCCAATTGGCAACCATCAAAATAAAGAAATAGACAGCTTTGTTATTTTTCTTTTCTTATTGTGTCCAACTATTTAAGGAAATTTTAGGTCACTTGCTGACTATGGAGATACCAGGACAGAAACTTCAATGACCACCAACAAAAAGAAATACATCTTTGCCAAAATAGCTTAGAAAAGTTCCTAAAGAAATAGGTAACTGCAGTCTCAATAACTATCAAAGCAATCTCCAGGGAGGGAGAAAATCTGATTTCCAAAATTACCACTTTACAATATTTAAGACGTCAAGCTCTCAAAAATAGATGACATAGCATACAAAGAAACAGCAACATATGCCCCATTGACAGGATGAAAATAAACTATCCATGAGAAAGCCCTGATATTAAACATTATGTTATTATACATAACATTTATTAAACAGAGTAAAACATTTCATTCTCTTAAATATGCTCAAAGAGCTAAAGTAAATCATAAAAAAATTATCTACAGAAAGCTAGGTATATGAAAGAGAATATCAATAAAAAAGACATTATTAAAAGGGACCAAATAGAAATTATGGTGTTAAAAACTATGATAGCATAAATGAAAAGAAATTAATAGAGGGGAAGAACAGCAGATTTAAGGAGGCACAAAAAATCAGCAAACTTAAAGATGGAGTCATTAAAATAACCCACTCTGAGGAGCAGAAAATAAAAAGAAAAAAAATAAAGAAGAAAAACAGATACCAAGGGACTTACAGTAATTTGAAGCCAAATGAAAATATAAAAAAAAAAGGTAAACATATTGATATGTATAAAAGCTTGTATTATTGTAGGTTTGATTTGCATCTCTTTTGTTTCCTATATTATTTAAAAATCAAATACATAAAATAATAATTTTAACTCCATGTTAATGGAGACATAATGTATTGTTATTTGGGACAATAACAAAGGGGCAAAATTGGACAGGAGTGAAAATAATGTATGCTATTGAAGCTAACTTGGAGTCAATTCAAGCTAGATTGTTATAAGTTTAGGATGCTAACTTTAATTTGCATGGCAACCACTAAAAATAGCTTAAAATGGCAACCACTAAAAATAGCTTAAAATGTACAAAAAAGAAAATAAAGAGGGAATCAAAGGGTACGCTAGAAAAAAAATCAAACAAAAAAGAGGCAGGATTAAAGGAATTTAGTCTAAAAAAATAAAAATAAATAACAAAATGACAAGTAATACATTCATTATCTAAATGTAAATGGGTTAAACTTACCAATTAAGAGGTATATTGACAAAATAAATAAAACATATTTACATATGTGTATATATATATGTCTATATTTTTGTTTGTTTGTTTTGAGATGAAGTCTCATTCTGTTGCCAGGCTGAAGTGCGGTGGCATGATTTCCGCTCACTGCAACCTCTGCCTCCTGGGTTCAAGCGATTCTCCTGCCTCAGCCTCCCGAGTAGGTGGGACTACAGGCACACGCCACCACGCACAGCTAATTTTTGTATTTTTAGTAGAGACGGGGTTTCACCGTTTTGACCAGAATGGTCTCTGTCTCTTGACCTCGTGATCCGCCTGCCTCGGCCTCTCAAAGTGCTAGGTTTACAGGCGTGAGCCACCGTGCCCGGCCAATAAAACACTTCAATTACATGCTGCTTTCCAGAGATTCATTTTAGACCTACAGATACAAATAGATTAAAGGTGAAAGAATGGAAAAAAAATCCATGTAAATAGGAAATACCCAAAAGGGAAGAAGAGTAGCTATAAAAATGTGAGACAAAGTAGATTCGAAGTCAAAAACTTATATAAGACAAAGACATTATATATTGATAAAAATTTTAATTCATCAAGAAAATATAACAATTATAAACATATGCACCATATGTATCTGTATCTATCAAACCTATGTAATGAGAACAACAACAAAACCCTCAAATGTATGAAGCAAACATTGACAGAATTAAAGAGACAAATGCTGTTCTACAATAATAGTTGGAAACTTCAATACACCATTTTAAATAATGAATAGAATATGTAAACTGAAGACTAATAAAGAAATAGAGATTTTGAACAACATTGTAAGCATGACAAACATTTATAAAATGCTACCGAATATCAGCAGAATATACATCCTTTTGAAATGCACATGGAGCATTCTCATGAATAGACCATCTATTATGCCAAAATGCAACTCACAATATATTAAAAACAAATTTAAATCATATAAAGCACCTTTCCCATCCATGCTGGAATAAAATTAGAAATAGCAGAAGGAAAATGGGAAAATTCACAAATATGTGAACATTTAACAATACAGTCTTAAACAGAGGATCAAAAAGTAATCACTGGGAAAACAGAAAATAATTTGAGATAAATAAAAACAAAAACACAACATACCAAATGTTATGAGAGCCACAATAGCCATGATCAAAAAGAAACTAATAGCTCTAAATGCTATTATTATATGAGGATCTCAAATTGATGCCTGTAGTTTTACACATTAAGGAAGCAGAAAAACAAGAGTAAACTAAACAGAAACTCAGAATAAAAAAAGGAAGAAGCAAATATTTCAGTACACATACATTAAATAGAGAATAGAAAAAAGAAATGAAGAGAATTCGTAAAATCAGAAGTTATTGTTTTGAAAACATCAACCAAACTGGCAAAATTTAGCTAACCTAGAAAAGAGTGAAGAACAAACAACTAAACTTAAAAGTGAGGACAAAACTATCAACTTCAGAGAAATGAAAGGGATTATAAAAGAATATTACAATTGTATGCCAACAAATTAGATAATATAGAATAAATGGACAAATTACTAGAAACATAAAAGTTAGAAAAGCGAATTTAAAAACAAAAAAAATAGAGAATTTTCAACAAATGTATAATAAGAAGCTGAACTTCCTCATACAAACAAGTCCAGGACCACTTGGCTTCACTGGGGAATTCCGCCAAACATTTGACAAAGAATAAAACCAACCTTAGTCAACATCGTTCAAAAACATAGAATATGGGGAAATAATTCCTAACACGTTCTATGAGGCCAGCATTATCTTGAGACCAGAATTATCTTGATGCCAAATCCAACAAAAGCACAAGACAAGAAAATTAAAGGCCACAATCCCTTATAAATACAAATGCAAATATTCTCTATAAAATACTAGCAGACTAAATTTAATAATATGTTAATAGGATTATGTATCTTAATTGAGTGGAGTTCTTTCAAGGATTGCAATGACAGTCCAATAAAAGATAATCAATGGGATGCACCACATTAATAAAAGAAAAAACAACACATGATGATCTCAATAGACACAGAAAAGGCACTTGGCAAAGTTCAATGCTCTTTCATAATAAAAAACACTCAACACACTAGGCACAGAGTGAACTTCCTTAGCATGATAAATATCATTTACGAAAAACCCATAGCTAACATCATATTCTATGGTGAAAGACTGATAGCTTCCCCTTAAGATTAGAAGATGACAATGACATATATGCTTTCACATTGCTTTTCAACATTTTCCTGGAAGTTCTAGCCAAGGAAGTGAGGCAGGAAAAAGAAATAAAAGCCATTTAAATTGGAAATGATTGAATATAATTATCTCTGGATATAACTGTTATAATTTTATCTATAAAAACATCCCATAGAAGCTACAAGAAAGCTGTGTCAGAAACTTAAATGAAAATAACGAAAGAGTTTTTGGGCTTTTTTGTAAATCTACAATTAGGAGGGCCTCACCTGATATATATTTTACTCCAGGAAGCAAATAGCCCAAATTTTATAATCCACTGGAATTTGTACTTTAGGAATTCTAGGGGTTGTTGTTTAGTATAATTATTTGGCATATAATTTCAATTTGGTAATATGGTACTTCTTTGTCCTTTCTACTAAAATATTTAATGAAAATAATTGTAATCTGAATTTAAAACATGTAAACATGATTACTGTAATAACCACTGCACAAAAGTTAATAATTCACAAATAGCAAGTTATTGACTTTTCCATGAGAATCTTAATTTTGACAAGATTCAACTCTTTTGTTTTTTTCTTTTTTGAGATGGAGTCTCACTCTGTTGCCCAGGCTGAAGTGCAGTGGCGTGATCTCGGCTCACTGCATCCTCCACCTCCCAGGTTCAAGCGATTCTCCTGCCTCAGCCTCCCAAGTAGCTGTGATTACAGGTGCCAGCCACCAGGCCCCGCTCATTTTTGTATTTTAGCAGAAATGTTAGCCATGTTAGCCAGGTTGGTCTCAAACTCCTGACCTCAGGTGATCTGCACACCTTGGCCTCCCAAAGTCTTGGGATTGCAGGTGAGAGCCACCACACCCAGCTCAGCTCTTAAAGTATAGAAAATTTCAGAACAATATATCATGTTCAAAAAAAGAGTATATTCCATTAATATAAATTATACATACATGAAAACTATTTCACAAAAAAATTAAACTTCTATCCCTAAGAAGAAGGAACTCGCTTATACATTGTTCCATCTTAAACATCTTTATATCTTTATATAACATCTACACTAAACATTGACTTTAAAGGATGGCATCCAAAACACAGAGAATTTTGACATGAAAAATGATTTGAATGTTTTATTCTAAATAAATTATCATAACCTGAATTCAAATGACATACCAAAACTTTAAGTATGCCATTATAAGTAAATAATGTATTAAGAAAAGGCCAGAATCCATAAACAATTTCTACCTTTATATATATATATGTTATATGTATACATAATGTCATATGTATCACTTGTTGACTATGTTACTGTCTGTGTAATTCCCTAATTCATTTTGGCTGTCATTTATTTGCATTTAAAAACACATTATATTTTTTCTTGGCAACATGTCAGATTAAATATTCTGAGAACTTTCCCATTATAAGAATGCTGCATATGATATAACAAAAATGCTTTTATATTTTTGACTGAGGGCATAATAAAGCAAGATAATAAACCAAGTAAAGAAATGAAGAGAGAGCTAAAAACATATTCAAAGAAAATACTTAACCTGTAGGTTTTCCTGCAAGTTTCTGCTGATACCAGTAATTTGGATAGTTGAATTTTAATAGCTTACTGGAGGCAAAATTTTAGCTATCATTAGGTGAGATGTTGTAATAGTAAACAATACAGAAAGCCAGGAATATTGATAGATTATAACCTAAGTAAGAAGATGGCAAAAAATATATGTATAGCCATGCAACCATATAAGGTAATTTGTATATCTTAGGCCTTAAAAATAATTGTACAAGAAAAGAATTTCCTCTAAGAATTTGCATGTACCAGCTTGACCTCACATTAGTTTGATGTCTGATTGTTCATGATGTGGATGATCCAGGAAATCCAAGACCAAGGAAACAACTGAAAGATATTGGTTTTGAAATTAGATATATAGAATGAATAAATGCAAATTTTCTATTGAAAAACATACCTGCAGCCATATCCTTCAAAATTCTCACAAGTTAAACCTCGGCAAACATAAGCTCTCACTCAAAAAGAAAAAAACGCCACACAAGAGTCAATATAACAGGAAGCAACAGAATACTAACTGAAGACATCCAGATACTAGAATTATCAAATGCCATAGGAAACAGGTAAACTAAAAATATATATGAACATAAAAAGAAAACTGGAAACATATGCATAAATATAAACCATAGAAACATCAAAATGTGTAAAAGTGGCCAAACTGAATGTTTAAATCAAAATTAAAATCAATAATAATTGATTAATGGGTTAATGAGAAGATTATAGCTAGAAATACATTTATTTCACAGGAAGATAGATCTAAATTAATTACTCAGAATGGAGCATAGAGGGAAAAGATTCACAAAAGGAAACAGCATAGGAGATAAGGAGGACAGAGTAAGAAAATCTAGTGTACATCTAATTAAATTTCAGGAAGAGACAAGAGAGGTAAAAATGCAAAGCGATATTGAGGATTTTCCAAAAGTAACAAAAGTCATGGAGGTTTAGATCATGAAAGTAAAATGACTCCTTTAAACATAAACCAAAGAAGGCAGTACTGTGCTGTAGCCAGTTCATAGTGTCCCATGAGAGTCTTCTGTTAAACATTCAGAAATTTACCAGCTGATCTTTAAAACATTGATAGCTTGAACTGGCCATGGTGGAAATATAATAAACCTCAGAAAACACTACAGAGAGATTTTGGGTTTTTGTTTTTTTGAGGGGGAGGAGTTATTTTGCTTTAACAGGAGAGTTACTTTACCCGTATGCCACTAAGAAAGGCATACCTCTACCAATAATCGCAAAATTGCAAACCACAAAAAGAGAAAGCATTGTGAAAGCAGCCAGATAGAAAGGACAGGTGATTTGTAAAGAGATATCAGTTTGACACCAGACAACTCAGCAGCATGACTGAATCACACAAGACAAGAAATATCTTCAAAATGCTGTATAAAGAAGAATGTTATTATTCAAAAATAGGTCAAAGATTCAGAGAATGTTCCAAGACAAAAATCTCACTAAAGTAACTTCTAAGATATACTTAAAGAAGATAGAATATGACCTAAGAAGGAAGTCCTGATAGGCACAAGCAAATGGTGAGAAAATAAATCTTTAAACACTTGGTAAATTAAAAATAATTTATTGAATCAATTATTTTCTCCTTATAAATATCATCACTATTGTGTGGCTTAAAGTAACACTCATTTATTATCTCACAATTTATTTAGACCAGAAGTCTAGGAGGCTCAACTGGGTACTCTGCTTAAGGTCTTACTGAGCAAAAGTTGAGATGGGGCTGGGGCTGCACTTCTCCTCTGGGAAATCAGAGTCCTCTTTCCTTAAGTTCTCTGGTTGCTGCAGAATTCATTTCCTTCTTATGCTTTCCATGCAAGTCCCTTACTTCTTCAAACTAGCAACATTTCATGGGAAGTTTCCTGTGCTTGCAATCTCTTACTTCTTCTGCTGCATTTCACAGGCTCCAGTCAGAGAAAGTTCTCAGCTTTTAAGGATTTATATAATTTTATTGGGACCACCCAGAAAACCATGGTAATCTCCCTATTTTAAGTTCTATAACTTAAAACATCTACAAAGTCCCTTTTGCAGTGTAACATAGCATGTGATTTTAACTGGTGCCAAAGACTAGGGTGTGGACTAATCACTGGGAGTGAGGTGTTGCTCTTCCTATCACACAATAAAACTCATTGGGTGCAATATTATCAACTTCACATAAATTGTACAATTTCACTTTATATTATGTCCCCAAACAGGAACAATTAAACCCTTGTTATTTTATATGGTTACATTCACATGTACTAACATTACAAAGCAAAGCGACGCAATATGCATCTCTATATTTAATATAACCTTAACTTTTGAGGAGAGAAGAGTGTATGAATTAGAAACGGCTGAAAAGCAGCTTTCTAAATGTTGGTAATGCTCCTTTTAATAAGCTCGATGATGGGCATCTTACCTGCTTATTTTATTATTAATCCTTAAATTATTGTATTTTTCTTTTTTAATTCAATGCTTTGGAAAGATAAATAAAATGCATAATTTTCTTAATAATATGTCTTACTGAGATGAAATTTAAAAGATACATAAAACTCCAAAATTTAAAAACTCCTTAAAAATGGATCGATAATTCAGACCCACAAATAAAATCTAGGACTAAGAAGGGATTCTAGAAACTTCTAATATATATATATATGAATAATTTTAGTATTTCACAAATATGTAAAGAGCATACAAAAAGGAAAAAAAAATAACTCCCATCTTTTTACATGAGACTTACATAAACTTGCTACCAAAATAAGACAAGGACAATCTTACTCAGAAGCATAAATGCAAAACTTTTATACAAAATGTTTGCACATTGAGTCCGTCATTGTTTAAATTGTTTTTAAAAAGAAACAACGTATTAATCATGTTGAATTTCTTCTGAAAGTAATTATACATATGAAATTTATCACAGTAAATATTTATACTGTATTAAAATAATCCTGTTGATGTTAACCTTTTTACAATACAAATATTCTAGTATTTAGAGTAAATTTTCAAAGTTATTAAGCAGTGTATCTCTGATGTAAACTAGAGTCCAAGATCAATGTATGCCAATGCTAACCGTTCATGGCACACCATTTTCCCTCACATGTAATTTATTGATCAAAAATATACTCAAATTAGTGCAACAATATTTTGTTTTACTTTATTGACTAAAAATTAAAATTATGTAAAATGTAAAGTGTTATGTGCCTGAGATTCTTTTCTTTCTGTTTTTAAGCAGCCTTCCAAATAGGATGTTTATCTGAAATATCAATCAAAAGAAATTCTAGGACTCACAGGAGAAAATATTGTAGAACAAAGAACCCAAGAGCTTAGTAGCAAATGAAATCTAATAATATGGAAAATTATATATTTTAAAAAGCATAGAGAAAGAGGAGTTTTAAGAAGCCACTTCAGTCATGTTATACCCATCCTCGACATATTCTCAGTGGCCAAAAGTATTTTTGGATTTTGTAGATGAAAGCAAGAAAAAAAAAATCATATCTTCTGTTCCAGACTTAATTCCAAATGTGCTTGCATTTGTTTATGACAAATAAAAAAAAAAATCACAAATTTGTATTCCTGAAACTTGAGCCATCTGTGTCCCTAAGAAATGGAGAATTATATCAGATAATAAAGACTAAAGTTTGGCTGCAAGTAGAAATTTATTATATACAGAATTTAATTTATTTTTAACGTGGGCCAATTTTTTTTTTTTTTTTTTTTTTTGAGACGGAGTTTTGCTCTTGTTGCCCAGGCTGGAGTGCAATGGTGCGATCTTGGCTCACTGCAAATTCTGCTTTCAAGGTTCCAGTGATTCTCCTCCCTCAGCCTCCTGAGTAGCTGGGATTACAGGCACCCGCCACCACACCCAGCTAACTTTTTTGTGTGTTTTTAGTAGAGATGAGGTTTCATTGTGTTGCCCAGGATGGTCTCCAACTCCTGAGCTCAGGCAATCCACCCCGCTGGGCCTCCCAAAGTGCTAGGATTATAGGTGTGAGCCCCCACACCTGGCCATGTGGGCCAAATTTTAAGCATATTCTTCAGAAGTAAATTTTAATAGCCTGTTCGGGGGTGATATTTTTTAATTGACAGAACTGATGAATATAATATGCATATGAATATATAATGAAACTGGTAAAATATGTCCATGCTTTCATATACAAAAAATTAATATTATAGGACAATCTTAGTGGAATCTTAAAATAGTTGGGTTATGATTCTTAAAAGTTTATTGTAGTAAGTAACTTTAGCAACATATTTTCAAGGGACTGCTGTCAATTCTTTCTCTTCCCAAACATGTATGTAGTTTCCTCATAAGAAATAGTGTCTATTTCTTCCTTTATCTTGAATCAGTGTCTGAATACGGACTAAACATGGCTAAATGTAGTAGGTAGTATGTTCTGGGACTAGATCATAGGAATCTTGAAGTTCCTATCTGAGCACTCACTCTTGTATCCCCAGGAGACTTGATAGGAAGCCTCAATATCCTTGAAAGAAGAATACATGGAGAGGCCCCGAGACTACACTGAGGGAAGATAGTCCCATCCAGTCCTGACCATCTACTTCTAGCCATCAAAATATAGAAGTTACTTTGTTTTTGACCCTCCATACCAAAACAGGCACCACATGAATACCACTGAGTGAACCTAACTTTTGCCACCTGGTATAGAACTGTCCAGCGGAGCTCTGCTCAATTTTCTGACACATACAGTTATGAAATATATTAAATGACTGCTATTTTAATTCAAAAAGTTTGTGAGTATTTGGTTCTGCAGCAATTAGTAACCAAAACATTAACAAAGCAAAATTCTTTTGATAACTTTTACAATCCACATTCAAACTAAAAAATTAACGGGAAAATTAAATGAATTGGCTTAGATCTGCAACTCAAGCTGATATGGGTAAGTAGTTTAACCACAATATCCAAATGATCTCTTTGTTTAATTATTTATCTTTAACATTTATTTATAATCTTACATGAAACAGTTTCCAGCTAGTCAATATTAATTATGTTAACATGTGATATGATAGAAGATGAAAACATTGATGTATTATAATAATTTTATGCTATAATAATAAAAGCTGGGTTTCTGTTTAATATGTAAAAACATGCATCTCTATTTTTATTTATTCATAATGTACTCATTTATTTCCTGATGAGATCTTAACTCCTAGTACAGGATTTCATAAAACTTGAGATATTTAGCATATAAAACTGCCAATTGCTTCAAATAGTGTTCTAAATTAGAATGTGCATTTTTGAAGAAATTGTATTCAGCCTTTGTTTATTGACTGTAGAGATGAGATCCTGGAAAATCTACTGAGGGAAGTACAGTTCAAATTGGTAATCACCAGGGAGAATAAATCATTTTATGGATCAAAATAAATAAAGTCATATTAGACCTTTGGTGAAAACAGTAAAGTAGAACATGGAAATGCACAGCAGGGAATGTGCTATATGAGAGATTTCTCTTACTGTATGATGGGTAGGTAAGTCCACTCAGCTTACTGCTTCTCAATCTTTTTATCTACATAAATTTGCCCACACAAATTTAGATTATTATGTGACTAAAATACTAAGAAATATAGTAATTCTAAGATGCCCCATTCTAAAACAGTGCCAATTCTATTGCCAGAGGGGGAAAAATGTATAATTGAGAAATCTGAAACTCATTTTAAAAATATTGATTTTATTTGCATAGAGGTGTTTATAGAAAATCTAGAGGAAATGGACACATTCCTGGGAACATACACTCTCCCAAGACTGAACCAGAAAGAAGTTGAATTGCTGAATTTACCAATAACAAGTTCTGAAATTGAGGTAGCAGTAAACAGACTACCAACCAAAAAAAGCCCAGGATCAGATGGATTTATAGCTGAACTCTACCAGAGTTACAAAGAAGAGCTTTCTTCTATTCACAATAGCATCACAATACATATCAATGATAGATTGGATAAAGAAAATGTGGTACCTATACAATCATGGAATACTATGCAGCCATAAATAGAACAAGATCATGTCCTTTGCAGGGACATGGATGATGCTGGAAGCCATTGTTCTCAGCAAACAAATGCTGGAACAGAAGACCAAACACCCCATGTTCTCACTTATAAGTGGGAGCTGAACAATGAGAACAAATGGACTCATGGCAGGGAATAACACACACTGGGGGCTTTCAGTGGGGGTTGGGAGAGCATCAGGAAGAATAGCTAATGCATGCTTGGATTAATATCTAGGTGATGGGTTGTTGATAAGTGCAGCAAACTGCCATGGCACACGTTTACCCATGTAGCTAAGCTGCACATACTGCACATGTACACTGGAACTTAAAAATAAAAAAATATATATATTATCAAATGTCTACAGTCTGTAAGAATACAAGGATAGCATGATGCCTCCAGCTTTGTTCTTTGTGCTTACGGGCTCTTTTTTGGTTCCATATGAAATTTAAAGCAGTTTTTTTCTAATTCTGTGAAGAAAGTCAATGGTAGCTTGATGGGGATAGCATCGAATCTATACATTACTTTGGGCAGGAAGGCCATTTTCATGATATCTATTCTTTCTATCCATGAGCATGGAATGTTTTTCCATTTATTGGTGTCTTCTCTTTTTCCTCCAGCAGTGGTTTGTAGTTCTCCTTGAAGAGGTCCTTCACATCCCTTGTAAGTTGTATTCCTATGTATTTTATTCTCTTTGTAGCAATTGTGAATGGGAGTTCATTCATGATTTGGCTCTCTGTTTGTCTGTTATTGGTGTATAGGAATGCTGTGAATTTTGCACATTGATTTTATATCCTGAGACTTTGCTGAAGTTGCTTATCAGCTTAAGGAGATTTTGGGCTTAGACAATGAGGTTTTCTATATGTACAGTCATGTCATGTGCAAACAGAGATGATTTAACTTCCTCTCTTCCTATTTGAATACCCTTTATTTCTTTCTCTTACCTGATTGCCCTGGCCAGAACTTCCAATACTATTTTGAATAGGAGTGGTGAGACAGGGCATCCTTATTTTGTGCCAGTTTTCAAAGGGAATGCCTCCAGCTTTTGCCCATTCAGTATGATATTGGCTGTGGGTCTGTGAAAAATAGCTCTTATTATTTTGAGATACTTTCCATCAATCCCTACTTTATTGAGTGTTTTTAGTATGAAGGGGTGTTGAATTTTATTGAAGGCCTTTTCTGCATCTATTGAGATACTCATGTGGTTTTTATCATTGGTTCTGTTTATGTGATGGATTACATTTATTGATTTTCATATGTTGAACCAGCCTTGCATCCCAGGGATGAAGCCGACTTGATCATGGTGGATAAGCTTTTTGATATGCTGCTGGATTCAGTTTGCCAGTATTTTATTGAGGATTTTCTCATCGATGTTCATCAGGAATATTGGCCTGAAATTTCTTTTTCTTTTTCTTTCTTTTTTTTTTTTTTGTTGTTGTTGTTGTGTCTCTGCCAGGTTTTGGTGTCAGGATGATGCTGGCCTCATAAAATTAGTTAGGGAGGAGTTCCTCTTTTTCTATCGTTTGGAATAGTTTCAGAAGGAATGGTACCAGCTTCTCTTTGTATGTCTGGTAGAATTTGGCTGTGAATCTGTTTGGTACTGGGCTTTTTTTGGTTGGTAGGCTATTAATTCAAACTATATTATAAGGCTATAGTAACCAAAACAGCATGGTACTGGTACCAAAACAGATATATAGACCAATGGAACAGAACAGAGGCCTCAGAAATAACGCCACACATCTACAACCATCGGATATTTGACAAACCTGACAAAAACAATCAATGGGGAAAGGATTCCATATTTCATAAATGGTATAGGGAAAACTGACTAGCCATATGCAGAAAACTGAAATTGGACCACTTTCTTACACTTCACACGAAAATTAACTCAAGATGGATTAAAGACTTAAACGTAAGACCTAAAACCATAAAAACCCTAGAAGAAAACCTAGGCAATACCATTCAGGACATAGGCGTAGGCAAAAACTTCATGAATAAAACACCAAAAGCAAAGACAACAAAAGCCAAATTGAAAAATGGGATCTAATTAAACTAAAGAGCTTCTGCACAGCAAAAGAAACTATCATCAGAGTGAACAGGCAACCTAAAGAATAGGAGAAAACTTTTGCAATCTATCCATCTGACAAAGGGCTAATATTTAGAATCGACAAAGGGCTAATATTTAGAATCTACAAAGAACTTAAACAAATTTAGAAGAAAAAAACAATCTCATCAAAAAGGGAGCGAAAGATATAAACAGACAGTTTTCAAAAGAAGACATTTATGCAGCCAACAAACATTTTTTAAAAAGCTCATCATCACTGATCATTAGAGAAATGCAAATCAAAACCACAGTGTGACATCATCTCACAACAGTTAGAATGGCAATCATTAAAAAGGCAGAAAACAACAGATGCTGGAGAGGATATGGAGAAATAGGAACGTTTTTACACTGTTAGTGGGAGTGTAAATTAGTTCAACCATTGTGGAAGACTGTGTGGCAATTCCTCAAGGATCTAGAACCAGAAATACCATTTGACCCAGCAATCCCATTACTGGGTATATACCCAAAGATTATAAATTATTCTACTATAAAGATACATGTACATGTATGTTTATTGCCACACTATTTACAATAGCAAAGACTTGGAACCAACCCAAATGCCCATCAATGATAGACTGGATAAAGAAAATGTGGCACATATACATTATGGAATACTATGCGGCCATAAAAAAGGATGAGTTCATGTCCTTTGCAGAGACGTGGATGAAGCTGGAAACCATCATTCTCAACAAACTAACACAGGAACAGAAAGTCAAACATCACATGTTCTCACTCATAAGTGGGAGTTGAACAATGAAAACACAGGGACACATGGAGGGGTACATCACACACCGGGGCCTGTCAGGGGGTCATGGGCTAGGGGAGGGATAACATTAGGAGAAATACCTAATGTAGATGATGGGTTGATGGGTGCAGCAAACCATCATGACACGTGTATACCTATGCAACAAACCTGCACGTTCTGCACATGTATCCCAGAACTTAAAGTATAATTTTAAAAAAAAATACAAATGCAAATAATATATATTCCTGTGCCATATTGTAGTAGATGAACCATAAAGTTATGTAAATGCTGTAAATCTGTTGTTGTAAGATCAATGACATAGTGATAACAAAAGAAAACTTGATAAATCATACCTTAGTGGGTCAAAAGTAAATTCACAGGAAACAAGCAGGATTCTGCATGGAGAATAGGAGTGAAAAAGGCAGAAAACAGAGCAGAAAGAATGCACAATGTCTCACAGGCTGTGACAGATATGAATACACGAAGTAAGAAAAAAATGTTATACACTTAAGGAAATGGAGTGCCTGAGATGTAGACCTTAAGAGAGAATATTATCAGATGGCATTTGAGAGAGAATAGTCATTTAATCATGGAAGATCTCAACACTAAGGAAACTAGATTTTTTCAATGACAGATAAGGTAGAAGAGGCTTGAAGAATTTGGGATCAGAATCCCAGGCTCTGTAGTTTCCCATCTCAGTTCTGCCTCTTGTTATCTAACTGAGCATGGACAGATTACCTAATCATTACACGTTGCAGTTTCCTTATCTGTGAAGGGAGATATTAAATCCTAAATCAGGGCAGTCTTGTGGATTAATTGAGATAATTTATGCAAAGCAATTGGAAAGTGCCTTGGGAACAGGATATATTTAATACATTTTAAAAAGTATTATAGATATTATTAGTATCCTGAGTAAGGTTTTGTTTCTGTCATTGTTTGTATTTATATAAACACAAAAGTAATTCATGACCTGAAACAAGCAGAAATACTAGCAATGAAAAGGAGAGAAGTGAAGAAGGTTAAGGAAGTAAAAACAAAACAACAGGATTAGAAAGTGATTGAATGTATGTGTTAAAGGGTTGGTTTTATAATTAATATTTTACAGTAGGTTTCTTACTTGGGTAACTGATCCACTGATGTGTATATTAAACAAGATGGATAATATAAAATGAGAAAAAGTTCTGGGGAACCATACTGAGTAATTTTGAGGAGTATTACATAGAAGTCCCATATATGCTTGAAAAACTTATGTGTTTAATCTCAGGTAAAATTCATTTGTGAGTTGTATGATATAGGGCTGTGTGGAAACTTTGATTCTTTAAGGTAACTCAGGTAGAAGAAGTAAAGAAAATATTTTTAAAATTCCATTTAAGGTTTGGTTGAAAGAAGAGACATAAAACACTGAACAGAAAAGGAAGGTGATCTAGAAAATAAAGTCATAATTGAAAGCAAAGAAATTAAGATTCCAAGTTGGAAAAAAATGGTCAACAATACCAAAGTCTAAACAGAGATCAAGTAATATGGTAATCAGAACTGTAAATTGATCTGACCTGTTGAAAGTGCCTAATACTAATAATAAAATAATTTACGCTGTTTTTTTTAGTTTGATTATGTCAGAAACATAGTAGTAAAATCTTCAAGGAACCAATTTTAATCTGACAGCTCACTTTAATTTTACTCTTTCTAAATTACCAGGAAGCAGATTCCATTTCATAATTTTCTTATATTTAATTAATTTTAAATTGACATTTACCTAAGTTTTCAAAATGTAAAACCATTTAATGTAAGAAGACATCCTTAGACAAAGATATTTTCCAAAATATGTTGTTAATGACATATGTTACAGAGGTATAACTATCATTTAGATATTATATATTTATAAAAATAGATATGGTAAGTTTTAATTTTAAAATCTATTGTATATAGTTGTTACTTTCAACACGTACATAAAATAATAATCTAAGTCTCGAAATAATTGCTGGCAATGATTTATTCTAATTCAAAATTAATATTCATTTTATATATTTTTCCAAGAAAATTATTTGCTGAAGATATAGATAATGGTTAATATGTGTTGTTTTGTTTTAGTAATTGTGTGATATCAGAAAGAAGAATGCAATTTGGAAATCAGTAGTTAAAATCTAACTGGAAGGGGCATTCCACTTTTTAATGGAAAAACTGGTTTATTAATACTTATAAACATTTATAAATATAAATACAGAAAGAATTTATATCTCAATATAAATGTAGATGTTGCTATGTTTTTATATGAACTTATATAATTCTATCCCTTCTAAAAATCACCTTACGTAATATTTGTAGTTTTATTGATTTTCATCAGTATAAATAATATTTTATTTTAAACACAAAATGGAATTAAATTCATGTAAATTTTAGCAACATAATTTTAGACACAATACAGAAATTATGGATAGTAATTTTGGTACTCCATTAATAAAGAAATAAAATGAAACTATAAACTATGATTCATTGAGAGAAAATGCTATTTTACATCTGGTGCATGGTATAAGTTTTAATCTTGTATGCATCACACTAAGAAACCTCACACCAACCATGGATTAAAATTAAAATTAAATTGCATAATGAAACATAGTTAAAATGATCTTATTTTATTTCTGATGTCACTTGGAAAATATGACTACCCAAAATGTTGCATATATATCTTTTAAAAAATAAATTATTTTCAAAATTTATGGAAAAGGCTTAACTGTTTATGAGTCTGAAATAATTTAGTTAGCAATATATTTTATTTCAAGTATTATTCATATATCATAGGAGCTCTTCTCATGTGAAAAATCACAATAGTTCTACATACAAGGTATTGAAACATGGATCATTTTAAGGTATCTGAAATATTGATTTGAGGTATAATTTCATTCTGTTTTAAAAATCTCCAAGTGATATCTGTAAACAAGCTCTTTGTGCTTAAAATATATTGATGGATTTGTCAGAGGGAGTGTTGTTTTTAGAATGGATGCTGTGTGTTTGTTTTATATTGTTAACAAATTTTAATGAAAGCAAGATTTCAAAACACTCTATAAAATACAACCATCCATTCTATAATAAAATGTTTCCTTTTACTACTCATCTACTTTGAAAGACAGAATTTTAACTATACACTTTGTTTTCTTTGTCTTTTAAGTGACAGTACAAATTATATATTTGAAAGAGTAAAATTTGTATGCTTGTAGTATTAATATCAGACCATTACTTATCCAAAATGATCTCTATTTGGAATGGAGACCAGGATAAACACTTCCAAAATCAAAAAGGAAAAATGTAAAACAATATAATACATTTTTCATTTATTCTGTGAATGAAAATGTATGGTCTTGTTCAATAGTTTTCAAAAGCACTACAAAGTTGCATTTAAATTAACTGTAGCAGTTTGAACAATAGCAAAAAACAAGAAATTGTTACCCACTATTTATCTGAAGCTGTTTTTCAATAAAATATCTGAGAATGTGCTTTCTAATAAACATGCTGATCCTTTAGCTATTCTAAAATATAAATTGTTTTCAAAATATATTCCCATATTATTAACATAAATTTCATAAAATACTAATTGATTCTTTGCAGTTTAGAAGCATAGTTATTAAATTTGTAATATAATACAAATACCCTGATAATTTCTTTTAGCACTTTACATGTCTTATAAATAAAACCAGTTAGGGTATGTATGCACCAAATCCTGAAAGACAAGAGGTGGAAAGGAGGAAAGGTTAATTATAAGTTATGAAAATGTACATATAAAACAAAGAATAAAAAGAGATGTGTTATGCAATATGCAGTTGATGTCAAACTTAGTAAATATGTTGAACAGTATATTTTAAAACAGAAGATTAAATGCTTTTGATAAGCTGAAGCATTTTTGCAAGTTCACCGCATACAATTTATACTTTGAAAGTGCTTTTATATATTTTATGCTTTTGTAAAATTTACAAATTATGCTCTCCCAAAACAGACCTTTAGGTTGAATGAGTTATGTTCTTAGTCATATACTGAATCATGTTATGAATAAGGTATAGATAAAGATGCCTAAATAGATCTCCCATTTACATATAATTTTAATGATCTAAAAGCATTATATTAAGTCATGAACTCTGGATTTTCTTTAGTATTTCTATACATAGTCTTAAATTAATGTCATTCAGTTCCTTTAGATATTGTTATTCTGAAAAAGAACTTATGCAAGACACATTAGCCATCTATAAAATTAGAGAGACGTGTCAACCAAGTGGAAATGAAATACTCTTTCTTCAGATAGCCCAAATTTTCCCAATCTTTGAACAGTAATTGTACAGAAAACAAAGTTTTCTATCTCTGATTAAAGATAAATATATTTTAAAAGATGTATTGGCTTGAAAAACACATTCTAGTAAAAAATTAGAATGACTTAAATATAGATTAATGACATGACACCATATGTAGCTCTAGTGATTTTTGTTAATACAAAATACTTGCTTTAGTTTACTTATTATTACAGTTGACTACATATATTAGTTTTAATAATGTATTTCTTTTGAAATTTCATGAAAGAAGTGAATTAAAAATACCCTGAAACTATGGTTAACATTTCAAATATACTTGAGTCACTAGTAAATTACAAAAGATAAAACCAAATAAACAATTTGATTTTATGCAATCATAAATTATTATAATTTCCTAATGAAAGACATATTCTAATTACGTCATTTTTAATCCACATGAAATAAACTTTCATTAGCACTTTACAGTTAAGGCACATAGAACACCTGTGGTTTGAAATCTGAAATGATATATTGGGTTTCAATTGCTATTTTAACTTATTGTTTCTTTTTTCCAAAGCGTGAAATACAAAACATCAATCCAGCATTCATACTGAGTTAAGATGTAATCATTCTAGGCTCAAGTGAGGGTCTCATCATGTTATCATAAGATTGAAAACAGCTTATTATGCACCAGAGCAGTATGGACACCTTTAAAAAAAGCTTTTAAATGGTAACCATGCTGAGCTCAAATGAGACAATTATGGATTTAAATGGGTCTTAGATGTAATAAGAGAATTATGAATATGTTGAACAATGAAAAATAAGTCTAAGTAGGAAAAATGCAGATTATCACTAATATTATATTTATATGTCTTACTTTTTATTTCATCAGATTTAAAAATATTTGATAGGCCATTCCTCAAATATAGACATTTAAATGCATGTTATATTTCACCTTTAGAAAGCCTGAGAAAATATGTACTGTTGATAAATTGCATCCATCATCTTTCTGCATCATCTTTTTGGAATTTTATTACTTTGCACTAATGCTAACATTTGCGTTTCTGCTATTTTATAGGTAAACACATATTTTTCATTATTTACTTTATTAACATGGTGAAAAACTTTCAAGCCTTTTGCACCAGAGAAGGCTCTAGAGTTTGGATTTCTCAACAAGGGAAAATGGGTTTTCTTTCATATATTTTCTGTTCATTTTTGCATTGTCTTGGTTATCTAGTGTTGAATAGGATTTTTGGTTACTGTTTTCTGAAATATGGATTTCAGAATTCTATGTACAGACATTGTATAGCATTCTTTAAGTATGCTCCTCCTTTGGTGCAGGTATTTAGCTAAAACTTCATATAGGATTATTTTCTAAAAGTTGACCATTATAGTTTACTGATGATAACAATGTGGCTCTAATAATGATAGGGCTCTACATATTATACAGCTTTTTGAGCTTTTTGAGAGTCAGGAAAGAATATTAAGGCCAGAGAAGATGAAAGGGTTCTAGTACTTTCTCTTACTTCTTTGAGAAAGTTGGTGTATTTAGGTCTTAATTTCTTCTATACTTAAAATGATTTTACTAGATTGAATTTTCTGAGTTATCTAACTGGGCTAATGTACAAAATATATTTAAGTTGAGCTAGTCTGCCAGAGGAAAAAAATAATTCACTCTTGGAATTTACTTCTGTATTAGTTAGTTCTCCCATTGCTATAAAGAACTACCTGAAACTGGGTAATTTATAAGAAAAGAGGTTTTAATTGACATACAGTTCCACGGGAGGCATGGTGGAGGAGGTCTCAGGAAACTTACAATCATGGTGGAAGGTGAAGAGGAAGCAAGCACATCTTCACATGGTGGCAGAAAAGAGAGAGCAAGCAAAAGGAGGAGTGCTACACACTTTCAAACAATCAAATCTTGTGAGAACTCACTCATTATCAGGAGAACAGCAAGGGGGAAACTGCCCCCATGATCCAAGCACCTCCTACCAGGTCCCTCTGCCAACATTGAGGAATACAATTCAACATGAGATTTGGGTGATGACACAGAGCCAAACTATATCAATTCCCTATTTTTTTTTCTTTTTGTTTTAAGAACATTTCAAATGTTAACTTTTCATGAATAGTCTTTCAAAAAACAATGATCCAGATTGTTATGGGAATATAAAAGGCAATATGAGGAAGAGTTGGGAGAAGAAGACATGATGCAGCCGGGCACGGTGGCTCATGCCTGTAATCCCAGCACTTTGGGAGTCCGAGGCGAGCGGATCACGAGGTCAGGAGTTCGAGACCAGCCTGGCCAATATGGTGAAATACAAAAATTAGCCAGGTGTGGTGGCGCACACAGGTAGTCCCAGCTACTTGGGAGGTTGAGGCAGGAGAATCGCTTGAACCTGGGAGAGGAAGTTGCAGTGAGCGGAGATCACACCACTGCATTCCAGCCTGGGCAACAGAGTGAGACTCTGTCTCAAAAAAAAAAAAAAAAAAAAAAAAAAAAAAGGACATGATTCTTAGGTGTTTCTCAGCAAAAGAGAAGAGGAGATTTTAGTTTAAGCTAAGAATAAAAAGAGAATGAAAAACACGGGTGTTCACCCTGGGGATTTGATGCCACAGAAGTAATGAAATTATATTCCATGCATAACTCAAAGGCTGAGGAATTCCAGGTTCACTTTTAACTGGGTCTTCCGGGAGGCTTCCGGGCAGGTGGGTTCCAGGTAGCTATAGCATAGTTGATGTGAACAGGCAGAAAGCGGGCCAAGCATGTTTTCTTCAGTCTGCCTTAGCTCCTTGGTGGCAGATATAGGTTATGGACTGCCAGTGGGTCCACAGTCCTGGGGAAGGAGAACAAGGCAGCAGAGTGAGAGCATAAGCTAAATGCAAAAGAAGGAAGATATGACATCTAAGATATGAAACAGCAGTGGCATCGTAACAGTCAGATTAAGGTCTAACTAAAACAGGAAACCACAGAGCTCTGATTTCTTTGGCAAAAGATTGACAGATCTCAGTTTGTCTGACAGCAGTGTGTACCTTCATAGAGCCAGATTTCTACTCTTCCCTCGAAAGTTGAGAGCTCATATAAGTCCCTTTCCCATATATCCAGATGCCATGTTAGAGGAGAGGGAATACCTGAAAAACTGTTACATATCTCAAATACACTTATTTAAACTTAAACAGAATGAATTATTATATCAAAATAATATTTAATCCCAGATTAGGACTGGATTTGTTCTTGCTTTTCCTTCACAAATCATGGTAGTAGATGGCTCAACAGGCAGATCAGATATATTAAAAATAATAAAATTTCTAATTTATTTTCCCCTTTGAGTTGCAGTATGAATAAAACTGTAATGCTGCTACTCATGAATCATCATTTTTTTTTAACTAAAATTTAGGCAGTCATAGAAAAAGGCTCTGGGAGTTCCAATTTGGTATATGTGCCTTGCATGAAATAATCACATAAGAAAAAAATATTAATTATGCTAGGAGCAGAATAGTCTAAGAATGACCTGAAGTGATCTGAACAATACTAAATCTTTCAATCTGTGACTCACCACCACCAGCAAGTAAGGGCGTAAAACTGGACTGTGACACTCCACAGGCACCACAGGTAGGTCCTAATTCCTTAGATGAATTGGAGCCAAAGTTCCAAAGCAACTCCTGTAAATAGCAGACACTTCAGACTAACTGGCACCACAGGCTATTTTTTTTCACACTCTAAGAAGGGAGACTCCCTCTTAGAGTCGGCTCCCTCCAATGGAACCAAACCATGTCGGCTCCCTCCAATGGAACCAAACCATGGCCCACTACAGCTGGGCCCTTCACACAGGCACAACACTCCATTGGAAGATGTGGAGAATGAGGAACTACATGATTCTTTGTCTTGCTGATTCTGTCCTCCTGAATTTTCTTATGTCTCAATAAATCCTATTCCTTAACCCATGTTTTCTGACTTTGCAGAAGATGACTCCTGGTACAACTAATGGAAGCTCTGAAGGGACTCACCCCAAACAACACAATTTAAACCCTAAATATTAAAAGAGTTCCTCTAAGTAGATGAATTCCTGTTTCAGTCTCAGAATTTTACGTATTTCTATTTGAAGAACATTTCTTTGCAACTTTGCATCTGTTAGGCCTTATTCAAAAAATAGAAGGAATTTAGAAAGGAGAAAACGTTTTTACATTAGTTAATTCTACGGTTTGTTCTATTCATTATGTAACTGTTTTCCAAAGACAACATCCCTAAAGGTAATTATTGCCTGGTGGAAGGCATCCTGCTTCAGTGATAAATGGATTTTGTTGTACCAAATGGAGGAAGAACATATACTGAGAACGTACGCATGATCACAAACATGAAATAGAAAACATCACCTATTTCCCCCTAAACTCCCTTTTTAAATGTAATCTTAGTTTGGCCAGACGCGGTGGCTCACGCTTGTAATCCCAGCACTTTGGGAGGCCGAGTCGGGTGGATCACAAGGTCAGGAGATCGAGACCATCCTGGGTAACACAGTGAAACCCCGTCTCTACTAAAAATACAAAAAATTAGCCGGGCGTGTTGGCGGGCACCTGTAGTCCCAGCCACTCGGGAGGCTGAGGCAGGAGAATGGCGTGAACCCAGGAGGCGGAGCTTGCAGTGAGCCGAGATTGCACCACTGCACTCCAGCCTGGGCGACAGAGGGAGACTCCATCTCAAAAAAAAAAAATCTTACTTTGAATGCATTTTTTTTTTCAGCATCCTGTGGACTTCAGAATAAAATGATGTATTAGCTGTCCTTTTTACACAAGAAATAAGAAAGTTTTGCTAGTGATAAATCATATTATGTCCCTATTCTAAACCCTATTCCTTCTCAATTTTGAACCACACACTTTAAATATTATTATACCAGTTAAGGAAGTTTAAATCTGTAAATTTCAGGGAGTAAGGGAAAAGGCCTGAGTAATTAAAATTTGGTTTATTTGGTAATCTTCTTGAATTAGACAGGGATGTCATTCTGTTCCAGAAATGACCAGAGCATTTAGTGGAGGATGTTAGTGCACTTGGATTTTTCTGATGTGAGTCAGTACAGAATGATAACATTAAGTGAGATATTCTTATGATAAATGTATATCAGCATCTCAACTGAATCCTTGTGACACCTTGCTACATAATTTCAGGATCACTAAAAGCAACCACAAAGCTTATATCAAAATATTTAATTGAAGGTTATTTTAAATGTATTATCTACGTTAATAACCATTAATAAAATATAAAGTCCAACTTGTTGATTAGGGGGAATGGATAATAAGACTATGTAATGGTGAATTCTTTCTTTACAGATTTTTCAAAACATTTAAAGTAAAATGAAAAAATAAGTTAGAATACTCCAAAATGATGATAGATCATGTTTATTTTGCTCCAATAGCTAAATTTAAATTTCTTTCCATTATCATTTTTTGAAATATATATTATGTTTCTGTTATAGTACTAGAGTTCTCATTTTAATATGTAAGATTATAAGGTTAGAAATAAAGATTGTAAAGGAAAAAATAGCTCATGACATTTGGAAAATAATTATCATTGCATAGTGATATGGGAAAAGTATTTAGTAAAATATAAAAATGTATTAAAATCAAAAACTGAAATGTACATTTTAAAAATTATATTTTGTTGCTTTAAATTTATTCCACTAATAAGCAACAGCTTATCAATTTGCAATTGTTGTTTGTATTATTGACTTAATAAATAATAATACACTAATCAATATAAAAATGTGTTTAGAGATCTTTTAATGTCACAATTCCACTGAAAATAAAATAAACTTCAAAAGGGAAATTAAGCTATTTTGTTGTAGAATAAAGCAAATATTATTCTAAAAGTTAATGTAGATATTTCAGTTGAATATCCAATCAGATAATGAAAAAAATTGTGTGAACTTTTCACAAAAGTCTGGGATATTTATTTTCTGATGCATTTATACAAACAAAGTTTGGAGATGACAAATAATATATATATTTTATATATCCATTAATATATCATGTTATATTATTGTATAATATATCTATTATATAGTTACATATTATACAATGTATATCTATTGTATATATAATATACAAATCTACTGATATTCTCCTATGCATAGTGTTCGTCTCTTAAATTGTGCCTCATTCAGTTGGAAAATGCCTATCAGCATTCTCTTTTCTGACACACAGTAATTAGAAAGTTAATTTTGCAAATCTCATAAGCTTAGCACTTTAAAGATTTATCTGCATTATTTAAATGGCATATTTTATAATATTTGGAGCATTCTAAGCAACTTTATTAAATTCAAATAAATTATTATTTTAGCTAAAAATGACATTGAGTTTCTTTCAAAATAATTTCTATTTTTGCCATCATGAATTTTAAAGAAGCTTTTAACCTTGAAAGATCAGTAAAGAGAAAAAAAAGATAAAATTATAATGGTTTAACCTCATAATATATTTTTATCAAGATATTGCCATAATTTCAGAGGAGAAGCTGTGGTGTTTCAGGTAGATTTTCTTTTATATTTTATCAGTATCAGTAATAGTCTTTTAAAATTCAATTTATTTCTTCTGGCACTCATACACTCTATAATATTATATTATAATGTCAATTTTTTTGAGAAAATAGAGTCATTAAAATAACTTCCAGCTAAGTAATTTAATTTATCATTGGAATCATGATATTGGAGTAAAACAAAGACATTAACCAAAATAATTCATAAATTTGAAGTGTTTCTTAACATTGATTTGTTGGCAAAAGTTGTGAAGTTGGCTTTGGAAATAAAAATTTATATTATACACATAAAGAGAAATTATGTAAACTATATATATATTAAGTTTTGCAATGTGAAAAGAGCTAATATAAGATAAAAACACAGATACAATAATCTATTATTTTTATAATTTATACTTGCTATTAATTGAAAATCTCAGCAAAAATAAACCTTTTATATTAGATTATAATTACATTATCACTCATGAATAAATAAGGTCAGTTTCATGAAATGATCATGAATTCAATCAGATACTTATATATTTTGTTATATTTTCACTCTTTGTATATTGCCGGTGACTCCAGCATTGAAAAGCTCATTTATCTATTATTATTGTCAGTGCTTATTAAAGGATTTAGGTCAGACATTGAATGCTGGGTCATTAGTTAATAGTGTAACAGCCAGCATTTCCAGTTACTATGTATGTAAGCTAAAGGTCTCCAACACTGCAAATCTTTCCACTATATCACAAAGAAATATATTGCTCTCAGCAAAATGTACTTTGTAGGAGTTTTAAACTCACTATTTATTATAATGTTCATCACTTCCATGCATAAAACTTCAAAAAGAAAACATACAATACAGTTCAGTCTTTTTTATGTATATTTCTTAAAATTTTAACAACCCATGTTATTATTCCCATCATTTTGGAAAGGATGAAGACCATCTTTATCATTCCCAAAGACTCTCACATTCCAACTGTAATCAAAACTCTCTGCTCATGCCCCACTGGTGGTAACCACCACCCTATCTTTCCCTATAATTTTTCCTCTTCCAGTATGTCATGGAAATATAATTATATACTAAGTAATTTTGTGAGATGTACTTAGTTTACTATATTTGAGATTTATTCATGTTATTTGAATCAAGTTTGTTTCTTTTCATTGCTAAGTTGTATTCTATTATATACCACAGTTTGTTTACTTATTCACAAATTGAAAGAAATTTGTTTTCTGTTTAAGGAAACTGTAAATAACAATGTTATTAGATTGTGCATACAGTTTTTGTATAAACAAAAAAGCTAGCAATTGGGTTTATTAAAGATTAGTACATATGCACTCATACATATATACATATTTCTTTCATCTTAATAGTATTTTAGGGGAATTCTAATTTTTATTTTCCCAACAAATAATAATGTTGAACATCTGTTAATGTGTTTAATTGCCATCCATAGATGGTTTTTTGTGAAATGCCTGTTCAAAACTTCCACCTGTTCCTTTCCTGAGTTGCGTATATTTGTGTTTTGAGGGTCCTTTTATATTATGGATACAATTTCTTTATCAGATAAGTATTTTGCAAATAATTTCACTCAGTCTTTGAGTGTATTTTCATTTTCTTAGGAGTATCTTTTCATGAGCAGACTGTACTCCCCACCGTTTTATATCCATCCTGCTTGCCTGGGAGGTGCCTTGCTCTTTCTGGTCCCAGGTCCAAGGCTCCATTTGGAGAGTTTGACACTGGGCTGTGTCCCATCCTGAGCCTGAGTTTGGACTGACACACCTGCAGAAAACAATGTAAGGGTCAGGAAACAGGAAAATATGACACAGTCAATGTACCAAAACAATTGTTAAGCAACATATCCTAATCTAAAAGAATTCCTCAAAATGCCAGACAAAGACATCAAAACACTGATTATAAAGAAGCTCAATGTGACTGGACACAGTGGCTCACACCTGTAATACCAGCACTTTGGAGGCCGAGGTGGGTGGATCAGCTGAAGTCAGGAGTTTGATACCAGCCTGGCCAATGTGGTGAAACCTTGTCTCTACTAAAAATTTAAAAATTAGCCAGGTGTATTGGTACATGCCTGTAATTCCAGCTATTCTACTTAGGAGGCTGAGACAAGAGAATTGCTTGAACCCGGGAGTCAGAGGTTGCAGTGAGCTGAGATCATGCTGCTGCACTTGAGCCTGGGCAACAGAGCAAGAATCTGCCTCCAAAAAAAAAAAAAAAAAAAAAAAAGAAGAGAAAAAAGAAAGAAAGAAAAAGCAGCTTAATAAGATGCATGTGAAACCTCAAAGCCAATTCAAAGAAATCAGAAAATTAATCTAACCTTAAAAATGAGAAATTTACCAAGGAGATAGACATCTTTAAAAAAAAAAGTAGAAATCCTGGCAATAAAAAAGTATTGAAGGAAATGCAAAATACATTTTAAAGCTTCAAGAATAGACTAGACCAAGTAGACAAAGCAGAAAAAAATAATCTCAGGAATTGAAGACAGGTCTTTTGAAATAGTCAGACAAAAATAAAGTCAACAGAATAAGAAAGAGTGAACAAAAGCTTCAACACATCTGGGACTACTCATGTCACCAAATATGAATTGTTGGTATTTCTGAGGGGAAAGATAAATTAGTAAGTTTAGAAAACATATTTTAAAAATAATTTATCAAAATTTCCCAAGTTTATCAAAAGGATTAAACATCCAGACACATAAGTCCCAGTGATCCCCAGGTAAAAACGTTGCAAAAATTATCTCACAAAAATGTCTTATATTCAGGATGTCTAAAGTCAAACTCCATGGAATTTCAAAATTAACAAGAGAAAAATACCTAGTCACCTACGAAGGAAACCCCATCAAACTAATAACAGACTTCTCAGCAAAAACCTTACAGGACAAAAGACAATTAGATGACATTTTCAAAGTGCTGAATGAAAATAACTGTCAGTCAAAAATTTTGTATAAGCTTCATAAACGAAGTATAAATAAAATCCTTCCTAGACAAGCAAACACTGAGGAAATTTGCTACTACTGGCTTAGTCCCACAGAAAATGCTCACGGGGTACTAAACATGGAAACAAGGAAATTAAAGGTTGATAATCACCATCATGAAAACACAGATATTTATAAACACACAGTTTGTATCAAATAATCACACAAAGGAGTAAGAATAAGAAATCAAATGCCAACACAGAATTTCACTGAATTACAAAGACATACACAGAAAAGGAAAGAAAGAAATAATTTATGAAACAACTTGAAAACAACAAGATGGCGGGAACAAAGCCTCATATATCAATATTAACCTTGAATGTAAATGAATTAAATGCTCCACTTAAAAGACACAGATTGGCATAATGGATTCTAAAACTTGATTCAACTCTATGTTGTGTAGAAAAAATTCACCTTAGCTGTGAAGACACATATGACTGAAAGTAACGAAGCGGAAAAATATATTCCATGTAAATGGGAACCATTAAGTGAGCAGGAGTAGTTACATTAGATAAAACTCACTTTAAATCAAAAACAGTCAAAAATGGTCATTTTATAATGGTAAAGATATCAACTCAGCAAGAGATTAACAATCCTAAATACATTTGCAGTCAATAGCAGAGCACCCAAATTTACAAAACAAATATTACTAGACCCAAAAAAAAAAAAAAAGATGGACAACAATACTATACTAGTGGAGGAAGCTCCGACTCAAAGCACTAAATAGATGATTGACACAGAAAATTAGCAAAGAAACATTGGATTTAAATTGGACTTTAGACCAAATAGACTTAACAGACATTTAGAGAACATTCTACCCAACAACTCCAGAATATATATCCTTTTCAACAGCACATGAAACCTTCTCCAATATAGACCATGTGTTAGGAAAAGCAAAAGTCTTATGAATTTTTTTTTTTTTTTTTTTTTTGAGACGGAGTCTCGCTCTATCGCCCAGGCTGGAGTGCAGTGGCGCGATCTCTGCTGACTGCAGGCTCCAACTCCTGGGTTCACGCCGTTCTCCTGCCTCAGCCTCCCAAGTAGCTGGGGCTACAGGTGCCTGCCACCACGCCCGGCTAATTTTTTTGTATTTTTAGTAGAGACGGGGATTCACCATGTTAGCCAGGATGGTCTCCATCTTCTGATCTTGTGATCCGCCCACCACAGCCTCCCAAAGTGTTGGGATTACAGGTGTGAACCATTGTGCCTGGCCATGAATTTTTAAAAATTAAAATTATATCAAGTATCTTCTCAGTCTATAGTAGAATAAAGCCAGAAAATAATAACAATACTATACAAATACATGGGAATTAAGCAGCATGGCTAATTACCCGGCTCCAGGGTGATTAGAGTAGGTAGACAGTGGCCACAGAGTATGAGAGCCCAAAAGGAAGTGGTTGGTACATTCACTTAATTAGCTGTTCAAAACAGATTTTCAAAACAAAACAAAGCAAAAAACATAGTCACCTCACTTTTTATTGTTGACTTTGATAATTTGTGTCTTCTATTTTTTCTTTTTCAGCCTCAGTAGATTTATGAACGCTATTGATTCTTTCAAAAGCCTACCTTTCAGTTTTGTTGTTTTACTCTATTCTGTCTTGAATTTTGCAGATTCTTACTATAATGCTTAATAGTTCTTTTATTCTGCTCGTTTGGCATTTATTTTGCTCTTTAAAAATATTACATTGAAAGCTTAGATACTTGATATGACTCAGTTTTTTTCTCTAATATAAACATCGGATGCTATAAATTGTCTTCTGTGGAAGGCTTTAGCTGCTTTCTACAACTTTTTATTTACTGAGTTTTAATTTTTTTGCAGTTTATCATATATTTTAATTTTCCTTTGGATTTTTCTCTCATTCATAGGATATTTAGAGTTTTGTTGTTAAATTTTTAAATATTTGAGGAATTTTCAGATATCTTTTTGTTGCTGGTTTCTATTTAATTCTATTATGATCTGATAACATTGTTTTCACAACAGCTTTATTTTTAGAACAGTTTTAGATTTATAGAAAAGAAAAATGTGTTGAGTGAAGTTCCCATATATCCTGCCTGATTTTTCTCTGTTATTAACATCTTACATTAAGAAAGCTCTTTGTTACAATTAATAAAATAATATTGCTATATTATTTTTAACTAAAATTATACTTAGTTTTTACTTAATGTCCCTTTTATATTCCAAGCCCTCATGCAACATACCATACTGAATTACATGTAGTCATCATATTTACTTGACCTAGCAACTGTATGCTGTGATAGTTTCTCAGCCTTCCCTAGTTTTTGATGATCTTGACAGTTTGAGGAGTACTAATCAAGTATTTTTTTGTAGAATGCCCCTCTACTAGAATTTGTCTGTGGTTTTTCTCATGTTTAGACATGAAGGTTACAGATTTTTTGGGAGAGGATGATTTCAGAGATAAAGTGTGGTTATCAACACATAATATCAAGGATACATACTATCAACATGCTTAATTACTATTGATGTTGACCTAAATCATCTGGATAAGGTAGCATTTTTCAAGTTTCCTCATGTACGTTTATTCTCCCCCTACCCAGAACCTTTCCGAAGTCTATTTATGGAAAGTAGTTATTACATACAGTTTATACTTAAGAATTGGGAACTTTTGCTCTATCTCCTTGAGAGTAGGGAATCTACATAAATTATTTGGAATTCTTTTACCGGGAGGTTTGTCTCTTATCCCCTACTTATTTTTATTTAATAATTTCTTTATATCACTGAGGACTCATAATTATTCTACATTAATGGGGTTATGTCAAAGGGTCATAAAACAGACAACTGAAAGAGTTCTTAATGGCAAAAGCTGGAACAGTTGGAGCAACTAAATAAATAAATTAGTATTGGTTTATACCCTAAACCATACAATGAACATCCATGAGTCTATACTGATATAAATAAATGATTGAATAAATATGTACATCAAGGAGAAGAGGCAAATCTTCCATGAGGAAGGGTTATGAATAATTTATGTAGATACCCCACCTTTAAGGAGGTAGAGCATAAATTTCCATTCTTTACATATGGGCTACACATAATGACTTCCTCCCAATGCATAGAGCACACAAACAGGAATATTAACTTTCCTGTGGCAAATGTGGAGTAACTGTACTCCACATTAATTTCACAGTGGAGAAATGTGTTAAATACCACCTCAGCCTGGTGGTCCGGGTTAACATGAATAGTAAAAATTACGTTGATAGTGTTAACGTTGGATGTGATAGGATGAAAATGTGATGTTATCTATTTATTTCTTCTCCTAAAGACCCATAACTCCAGTCTAAACATGAAAAAATATCAGACAAATTCTAATATGCCATCATCCTACAAAATATCTGACCAGTACGCTTAAATACTGTCAAGATTATCAAAGCCAGGTTAAGTCTAAGGAACTGTCACAGCCAACAGTTATTAACTTGAGATATGATTAATAAATATAAGGTAGTATTCTAGATGAGATCCTGGAACAGAATAAAGATATTAAGTTAAAATTTCAGAAAGTCTGAATAAAGAATAGACTCTAGTCAATAATACCTCAATGTTGTTTCAATAACTGAAACAAATATACCATACTAATATAAGATGTTAATAATAGGAGAAACTGAGTGTGGAATAGATGGAAACACTCTGTACTATATGTTAAACTGTCTGTTAATCTAAAATTATATTAAACAATTAAGTTAATTTTTAAAAAGAGTTTAAAGTACACAGCAGAAATACTTGGTTAATCAAAACTTTTGGAGGAGATATGAGTGGAGAGAGTGAAATATAGTAAAAACTGGTATATTTTCTTGTAATTTCCTTTCTAAAATACCTGCTACCAGAAAAAAAATGTTGAAATAAATCAGATAACAGCAACAAAAATACAATGATTTTTTAACTATTTCTACTCTGGTGGTGTGTATATTCTTTGGGGTGTTTTGGTCCTTCATTTAGGGTAGTTTTATGGGATTCGAGATTGGATACCATGAGCTCCAGGCATAAATAGGAAGGTTTTAGATTTGAGACAAGAGACTGGGAAAGAAGTAGCTGCATGCATCTCAAATGTAGAGTGATGTATGTATTATCTGACTGCCTGCTGAAATTATAAGCTCTCCAAGTCTCTGCATATATGCTCACTCTAGGACAAATGAATTCCTCCAGGGCTTGTTATCACAGCTTTAGAATTTCAAGTGACTTTCCCCTGCAATAGCTTTGTCCCATCATCTTTTTAAAATACTCTTCTTGGAAAATGTCTTCAATAATATATGCTCTTAACATTAAAACCTGTATTTCCATACTGTTTTATACATCTTCTTTCTCACAGGAAATGTTTATGTACTGGGCCTATGACAAAGGCTCCCTGTGTCACTTAGCCAAGAATTAAACTGTTTTTGGAGAGTTTCTTTTGGATATGTGAAATGAGTTCCAAATAGCTATATTTCAGCCAGTAAGTTAGCAATAGTTATATTCTTTTTTTAATAAAATGAGAAATATGTACATAACGTATGTGAAATAATAGTACTGTTGTACATACAACATAGCACGCTCAACAAAAATGCTTAGGTTAAATAATTTGAAATTAATCACAGTTTTGGTAACTGCTGGCAATGAGGTGGTATCTATTTCCTACAAAAAATGTCTTTCCTCATATTTTGTATTTGCTTTTGTAGTTACCAAATTTCAGGTGGAACTGAAGAAACCACCAAACCAATTCTAATCCATAAAACACAGTCTACAGGTTTGGGACTGTCTTCAAACTTGAAATTTAAATTCAATGACTTTGGAAATATTTCTTATTTCACAAGAGACGCAACTCTTGCACAACAATAGTTCTAGTGACTACAGTTAAAAAAGTTGAGAAAAAATGTTATAACTGAAAATTTTCTACAATGTTATGGATTGAATGTGTATGTTCCCTCAAAATTCAAATGTTGAAATCCTAACTCTCAGTGTAGCTCTATTTGGAATAAGAATCAACTAAAGTTAAATAAGGACAGGGCTCTGATGCTATAGAATTCGTGTCTTTCTAAGAGGAAACACCAGAGAGCCCCCTCTCTCTCTCAAGAACACACTCACACTGAAGACAGGCCATGTGAAAACCCAGCGAAAAGATGGCTCTCTGCAAGACAGGAAAAGCGCCCTCATTAGAAACACACTGTGCTGGCACCTTGAGCTTCCAGAACTGTGAGAAAATAAATTTCTGTTTTGTAAGCCACCTTGTCTATTGTAGTCTCTTACAGCATCCCGAGCTGACTAATACACTCATAACACCGGGAAAATTTGAAATAGTATTAATAAATACTGTGGATATTATTGCTCTAACAAAATGCAGTTAATAATGTGAGACACATAAAGCACACAAAAACATGAAAGGAATCTAAAACAAGCACAGTTTTATTTTTAAGCATCAACTATTTCAAGAAAGATGGAAGCAAAATATGTATGTGATAATATCAATTGTGGTTGCGGAAATGCACTATTACTGAAGGGAATATGAGAACAACATCAGTCAAAAATTGATCATTTTGCACATGTTGCACAAGTCATAGATTTCTATGCATATTCTTTATGTAGATTTTGGTATCTATACAATAATCAGGCTTCATAAAATAGTATTTCTAAATGTTTCTATTTATGTTTTATAGTAATTTATGAAAAAATAAAGAGTTTACAATTTGGTAAAGAGAACAACACATTTTCTGATGTCACCGTTAAAATATGTTATTTCTATTATAAAACAGTTACTTAAAAATATATTTTTTAACAAAAACGTTAAAAGAATATATTTTCATTACCACACAGATATTTAAAGGAAGCTAGTAAATATATCTTAAAAATAAATATTTTATTAATCTCTCATTTAAAATATAATATTTGAGCTGCAAATACATTAAAATCTCTCTGAAAATAATTTTGTGTTAGTGCAATTCCTGCCATAAAGCTTGCTATAGATCATCTTAGGGACAGCTTAGATTCATTCAAAGGTAGAATGTTAATAAGTTCCATGATGTGCTCAAAGGAAGGTTGGTGGGTGACTTTAGATCAAACTGTAATACAGGTGGAATAATTTTATAACTTTAATCAATGCTTTCTTTTATGGATTTACCAATTTTAGTAATAAATATCCAGCCAAAATAAAAATATAATCAAATAAGTTACATATTGTGCTTCATAATGACATTTTGGTTGATGGGCCAGAACACAGAAACACGGTGGTCCTATAAGATTATAATGGAGCTGAAATATTCCTATTGCCTAGTGACATTGCAGTTGTCATAGCATGAGAGTGCAACACATTACCTTGCCCATGTTTAAATATGCTTAGATGCACCGTTGCCATTGTGTTATAATTGCCTAGGGATTCAGTACAGTCACATTCTGTACAGGTTTGTAGCCTAAGAGCATAGGCTAAACCATATAACCTTCATGTGTAGTAAGCTCTACTATCTAGATTTGTGTATGTACACCAAATAATGTTCACATATGATGAAATCATATCACAACACATTGCTTAGTATGTATCGCCATTGTTAAGCAAAGCATGAATGTATTTGGAATCATGTAGCTGTAAAAATATCTCACGGTGATTTCACTAATATAAATTGCTTCACTTTATTAAGTCTAACAGTTTTGCTTAATTGAGAAGAAACAAAACAAATGTTTAATCTATGTTGTGTGCCATGAAAAAAAGGATTAGTGTAAAAATCGGAAGGAAATCAAGTAATTCAAGATGAAATCTTTTGTCTTATAATTTCCTATATAATTTCTAAGATATAAAATAATTTCATGTAGATTTATTATCCTCTATCATAATTAGTAAGTCAGAATCACTAACGCATACTTTCCTTCAAGTTTCCAAATGATTTTAGATGACTATCTGCATGAAAAGAAATATTTGGATGAAGGATTTTATAAAACTGAACCATTTTGTATGTTATGAAACTGACACCCACTTCCATATGTTCTTGTTAATTAATTTTCAAAGTGTTAGTTTGCTGTCATTTACACAAATCCATAAAAGAGCATAGACCACTCTGCCACTGAGACAATGAATGACAAGGCTCTGGCAGCAGATGGTGACTAGGTCATTTCTTTTTCCATCTGGAGTTATACCTGACTAGATTAGAAAACACAGAAATATCATGAAAAGTATCATCTATCTTAAGCTCTGATTTGACTACCCAACTGAGAGTAATATTTAAAATTGCCTCCACAAAGTTAAATAAATGGCTGAAGATAGTGGGAAAAATCAGGGCCTTTGCTATCAGATATCTTTAATTAACTAATGCTACTTTTGACTTTTGTATTACATTTTAGACAAGCCACCTGATACAAATCAGACATATTGTAATATTAAGGGAAAAAATTATATGAAATTTTTCTCAAAAGCTGGGTTCCAAGTAAACAATTCATCCAGTCTTTGCATAGAGCTAACAAGGTTGGTGTGGAAAGGGCAGAGACTCCCAGAAATTAACAATTAATTTGCATCCTGACTCATAGAAAAAATATGAGAGTTCCATAAGTACCTTGATCACATAGGTCAGTAGTTATACTATTTCTCTAAACACACAAGCTTGCAGAGCAAAATATTTGCACCAAATCTCATTTTGAATTGTAATCTGAATTGTATTCACCATCTTTTGGGAAAGGGACTTCGTGTGAGGTGATTAGATTATGGGAGCAGTCCCCCCATACTTTTCTCATGATGATGAATGAGTCTCACAAGCTCTGTTGGTTTTATAAATGTCTGGCATTTCCCCTGCTTGCACTCATTCTCCCTCCTGCTGCCCTCTGAAGAGATGCATTCCACCATGATTGCATGTTTCCTGAGGCCTCCCCAGCCATGCTGAACTGTAAGTCAATTAAAACTCTTTTTTAAAAAAATAAATTACCTAGTCTTGGGTAGTTCCTCATAGCAGTGTGAGAATGGACTAACACAGTAAATTGGTACCAAGAGTGGGGTGCTGCTGTAAAGATACCCAAAAATGTAGAAGCAATTTTGGAACTCAGTAACAGAAAGAGGTTGGAACAGTTTGGAGGGCTCAGAAGAAGGCAGGAAAGTGTGGGAAAGTTTGGAACTTCCTAGAGACTTGTTAAGTGGTTTTGATCAAATTGCTGATAGTGATAGGGATAAGGAAATCCAGGCTGAGGTGGTCTCAGATGGAGATAAGGAACTTGTTTGTTAGAAACTGGAATAAATATGATTCTGGTTAAGTTTCAGCAAAGAGACCAGCAGCATTTTGCCCCTGCACTAGAGATCTGTTGAACTTTGAACTTGAGAGAGATGATTTAGGATACCTGATGTAAGAAATAGAAATAGCAGCAAAGCATTCAAGAGGAAGCAGAGCATAAAAGTTTGAAAAATTTACAGCTTAACCATGAGGTAGGAAAGAAATACACATTTTCTTAGGAGAAATTCAAGCTGGCTGCAGAAATTTGCATAAATAATGGGGAGCTGACTGTTATCCACCAGGACAATGAGCAAAATGTCTTCAGGGCATGTCAGAGACATTCATGTCAGCCCCTTCCAACGTAGGCCCAAAGGCCTAGGAGGGAAAAACGGTTTCATGGGCTGAGCCCAGGGTTCCCCCTGCTCTTTGCAGTTTTGGGACATGGTGCCCTATGGCCCAGCTGCTTCAGTTCCAGCTGTGTCTAAAAGGGGCCAAGGTACAGCTTGAGCAGTTGCTTCACAGGGTGCAAGCCCCAAGCTTTGGCAGCTTCCACATGGTGTTGGGTCTTCAAATGCACAAAATTCAATAATTGAGGTTAGGAAACCTCCACCTAGATTTCAGAGGATCTATGGAAATACCTAAGCATAATTGTGTTTTAAAATATGAGGAATATAAGATTTGGGAGTGGTCAGGGGCTGAATGTTATGGTCTGGCTCTGTGTCCCCACCCAAATCTTATCTTAAATTGTATTCCCAATTTACTGGGAAAGGGACCTCATGGTAGGTGATTAGATCATGGGGTCCTTCCCCGGCATTTTTCTCATTATAATGAATGAGTCTCATGAAATCTGATGGTTTTATAAGCATCTGGAACTTCCCTGGCTGCATGCATTCTCTCTTCTGGCTCCCTGTGAAGAGAAGCCTTCAACTATGATTGAAGGACTTCAGTTTCCTGAGGACTTTTTCTTCATAAATTATCCAGTCTGTGGTAATTATTCATGGTGACATGAGAACAGGCTAATACATAAGAGTTCCATAGGTACCTTGATCACATAGGTCAGTAGTTAAAATATTTCTCTGAACACACAAAGCTGGCAGAGCAAAATATTTACACCTGCTTACTCCATAATAAAGGGACACATGAAGAGATACTATCCATATTGCACAAAATAACAAAAGATAAAATAATTTTATGAACAAATCTCATTGAAAATATCAGTGACTCAAATGTTAGGTGCAATGAATATTTATTCGCTGACTTGATTTAGTGAGTCAGCTTCTGTATTTAGTAACCTGGCAATTCATATAGACAAGAGTCATCCTCTCTTTTCTGGTTTTTAAAATTTTAAGTATTTTATTTTGATTGATATAATTTTTTTCATTGAAATACTTGATTAAATATACTTTTTTCTCTTGTTTCTTTAATCCCAGATGTATTGTCATTACTTTTTTTTGGTCTGGTTTGATTAGGTTGTTGAAAGTCTTAGCTGTTAGTTTCCCAAGGAGAATGCCCATTAAGATGATTTAGATTATTTAGCAGGAAAACTAAAGACCACAGTATAAAAAATAAAGTGGAGGAGAAAGTGCTGACACATAGAAGAAGATATCCCATTTTCCAAGATTAAAATTCCCTTTAATATTACAACATGCACAGTATTATTTTTAAATCTTCAAAGATTATATGTATCCATAGAGTTTTCATAAGTAAAATATAAAGTTAGGACTGTCCCTTATAGATGGTATTTTTAAAAAGCTAGGACTGTGCCCTTATAGATGGTATTTTAAAAATCTGCATATATAGATTTATAAAGAAACTACCTTAATTTAGGAAATGTCTATTCTAAATCAAAGATCTTAAATAAGAAAGACCACCCTTATTTTATACCACACTATATAATACTTGGTTAATATTTTAATGGAAGTAAAGGATAAAGTTTAGATTTTATTAACCAAGACCAGTTTGTTTTATAGTATTTAGCAATGTGACACTAGAAGAAATATTTTTGCAACTCAAATTAAAATTCACTGGAAATAGTAATTACCTAAACATAAATACATCATATTATCACATGCAACTTCCTAGAATTATGTTTTACTTTGTTTAATAATCATCTAAAAATTAAAGTGTTGAAAAATACAGCAAAATGAAAAAAAATGCCTAAATGGTGAACGCAGATAAAATAATTTATATCTGACCCACACTCCCTCCCTCCCTTCCTTCGTTCTTTCCTTCCTTCCTTCTTTCCTTCCTTCCTCCCTCCATCCCTCCCTCCCACTCTCTCTCTCTCTCTCCCTTTCCCTTTCCCTCCTTTCCCCTTCCCCTTCCCTTCCTTTTTTTTTTTTTTTGGTTTGACACACAGTCTTGCTCTGTTGCCCAGGTTGAAGTGCAGTGGCATGATCTGGACTCACTGCAACCGCTACCTTCCAGGTTCAAAAGATTTTCATGCCTGCCTGGCGCGGTGGCTCATGCCTCTAATCGCAGCACTTTGGGAGGCCGAGGCGGGCGGATCACGAGGTGAAGAGATGGAGACCATCCTGGCTAACACGGTGAAACCCCGTCTATATTAAAAACACAAAACAGCCGGGCATGGTGGTGGGCGCCTGTAGTCCCAGCTACTTGGGAGGCTGAGGCAGGAGAATCGCATGAACCCGGGAGGCGGAGGTTGCAGTGAGCCGAGATGGCACCACTGCACTCCAGCCTGGGCGAGAGTGAGACTCCGTCTCAAAAAAAAAAAAAAAAGAAAATAAGATTCTCATGCCTCAGCCTCCCAAGTAGCTGGGATTTCAGGCATTTGCCACCATGCCAGGCTAATTTTTGTATTTTTAGTAAAGATGGAGTTTCTCCATGTTGGCTAGGTTTCTCTTGAACTCCTGGCCTCAAGTGATCTGCACACCTTGTCCTTGCTGACCTTGGCACTCCAAAAGTGCTGGAATTACAGTTGTGAGCCACTGTGTCCAGCCTAATTTTCCTTCTTTATTTCCTCCTTTTTTTCTCACTCAATTTGTTTCTCTCAAATTCATTTTGGAATAAAAAAAGTAGAGTAATTCTAGCGATTATTTTTATTTATTTTTTTTTTTTTGAGACGGAGTCTCGCTCTGTCGCCCAGGCTGGAGTGCAGTGGCACGATCTCGGCTCCCTGCAAGCTCTGCCTCCCGGTTTCACGCCATTCTCCTGCCTCAGGCACCTGAGTAGCTGGGACTACAGGCGCTCACCACCACGCCCGGCTATTTTTTTAGTAGAGACGGGGTTTCACCGTGTTAGCCAGGACTGTCTTGATCTCCTGGCCTCGTGATCCGCCCACCTCGGCCTCCCAAAGTGCTGGGATTACAGGCATGAGCCACCGCACCCGGCCTCTAGTGATTAAAATTTTTAAAGCTATGCTGGCGCCCGTATACCTAAACAAATGTTCATATTTCTGAAATTTATTCATCATGTGAAAGAAATGTAAATATATCTTGGTCAGATAGATACCTTAGTTACTAGTTTATAAGTGTATGCACATAGACTGTATCTTCAGTTATAAATATTAAATCATAACTGGGATATTTATTTATATATGTTAAAACTAAAAAAACGAGGTGAGAACATTAAATTCTTATTCACAGTATAGAGATTTAATGAGATTAAATAGATCAGACAATTTTGAAGCATTATCAGTCCTTTTAGATGAATTTCAGCAGGACAAAAAACCAGAAACAAATGAGCTAATGCAAAGATTCTGTTTTAATGTTTTAAAATATGGCTCTCCTGTTTATATCTTGGGTCAAGTGCTAGTTCTTAGTGGTGTTAAGTATGCTTCTAAGTATATACGTGAGGGTCTTTTTTTGTGCTGAATCTATAGCTTTATTTAATTAAAATTTTTATATAATTTTTAAACACTTTTCCAAAACTTTTGCCTGTCAAAAACTATTTTCTGTTAGTATACCTTTCGTTAGTATCTTATAATTAGTATGCTCAATACTAAATTTATTGTATTATATTTAAATTATATTTTAAAATTAAATAAGTCTTAACTACAATATTTTACATATATTGATCTACATATATTAATTTACTTAGATAAAATATAGATTTGCATAATAAAGACTATTGCATAATGATATAAAAAGCTGATAGTTGTTTAAGCTATCTTAAATCTACCACTGATTTTACATTATTATTCAAAACTATCATGGATTTGTTTTTATTATTCAATGCTACTATTTTAAATATGAGGTTAAGCCATAAAGGAGCAATAGTTTTCTTGATTGATTGTAAAAACAATTTGAGCCTAATTTGGCTATATTCTTATATTGGATTAAAAAATTGAAACAAAATTCTCTGAAATAATTTATAGGATTTAGGTATATTACCAAATTCAATAAATTCAAAAAATATTATATTTGTTAGGTTTTAATGAACAATTCTTACCACCATTATAAACATGCATGATTACATTTAGAAGATTTATCTACCAGCTAATAAAATAACATACATTACTGTCATTACTTTGGGTTGTAAAATAACCTACAAGACCTTTCCCCATTAGCACAGATACGGCTTCTTGAATAAGTGATGTACCCCAAGAACATGTGATTCAGCTTTTGCTACTAAAAGGTTTGCTTCTATTTCCTGAACTAAAGAGCAAGTCTTTTTTTTATTATTATTATACTTTAAGTTTTAGGGTACATGTGCACAATGTGCAGGTTAGTTACATATGTATACATGTGCCATGCTGGTGTGCTGCACCCGTTAACTCGTCATTTAGCATTAGGTATATCTCCTAATGCTATCCCTCCCCCAACCCCACAACAGTCCCCAGAGTGTGATGTTCCCCTTCCTGTGTCCATGTGTTCTCATTGTTCAATTCCCACCTGTGAGTGAGAATATGCAGTGTTTGGTTTTTTGTTCTTGCAATAGTTTACTGAGAATGATGATTTCCAATTTCATCCATGTCCCTACAAAGGACATGAACTCATCCTTTTTTATGGCTGCATAGTATTCCATGGTGTATATGTGCCACATTTGCTTAATCCAGTCTATCATTGTTGGACATTTGGGTTGATTCCAAGTCTTTGCTATTGTGAATAGTGCCGCAATAAACATACGTGTGCATGTGTCTTTATAGCAGCATGATTTAGAGTCCTTTGGGTATATACCCAGTGATGGGATGGCTGGGTCAAATGGTATTTCTAGTTCTAGATCCCTGAGGAATCACCACACTGACTTCCACAATGGTTGAACTAGTTTACAGTCCCACCAACAGTGTAAAAGTGTTCCAATTTCTCCACATCCTCTCCAGCACCTGTTGTTTCCTGACTTTTTAATGATTGCCATTCTAACTGGTGTGAGATGGTATCTCACTGCGGTTTTGATTTGCATTTCTCTGATGGCCAGTGATGGTGAGCATTTTTTCATGTGTTTTTTGGCTGCATAAATGTCTTCTTTTAAGAAGTGTCTGCTCATGTCCTTTGCCCACTTTTTGATGGGGTTGTTTTTTTCTTGTAAATTTGTTTGAGTTCATTGTAGATTCTGGATATTAGCCCTTTGTCAGATGAGTAGGTTGCGAAAATTTTCTCCCATTTTATAGGTTGCCTGTTCACTCTGATGGTAGTTTCTTTTGCTGTGCAGAAGCTCCTAAAGAGCAAGTCTTTAGCGCTCTGAAAAGCTCCTACTTCTCCTATAATTATCTAAGAGGGCTGTAATGATATTTCACATTAGTGGTTCTATATACAATGGTATGTAAAATTATTATGGTGGAGATTAAATTTTCTGTATCATTTAATCTGGGTCATTGTGATATACCTCTGCTCATTAATTTCTAAAAATAATAGCACAATTTCAAATGATATTTCATGCTTTGGCAAACAATATTTTAAATAATCTTTGAAGTATAGTCTTAATTATTGCAAGTGTTATTTTAGAGTTTCTCATACCTAATCTTCAAATATGCTCCATTTGCATTCTAATATAATGGATATTGCTTTAATGAAGTTATTTTTCCATTACTGTGTATGGAAATATGTATCATCATGATATAAATCTACAATGTAAATCATAGTAATAATTAATTTATGTAAACACCTTTTAGATTAGCTTGTGAAGGTCACTGAATGATAAAGACATAATAGCCAAAACTCTTTGATTTTGTACTCCAACTGCAGAAGAACAGCTTGGGGGACTACTACGCAAACCATAAAAAGCTAGGTTCACTAAAATTAAAAATAAGATGGAAGTTTTATGATAAAGCCACATGCTAACTTTTGGAATTATTTCAGTGTTTTCTACTTCTTTTTTTTACATATGCATGAAATTATTATGTATTTCTTTAAATATAGCTCGCACAGTTGTTCCTAAGAAAAATAAATGCCGTCAATTTGTGGTTATCTTACTTCACGTTATAAATGTCTAATATACTTCAGGAATGTAATGTTTTTCATTTCCTTGATTGGCATCTTACCCTTCAATATATTACAAAGAAAGCAACAAAATAATTTACATGACAAAATCTTTGGTGAACTTGGAAATACATCTTATTTTTACTTTTATTTATTTATTTGTATTTGCTATAACAAGGGTAACTACTAGAAAATCAAGTTGCCTTCAGTTATAGCTACCAATCTATCCTAGTATGTTGAATAATCCGGTAAAGGAGAGCAAACCACCCAGACTCCATATGGTGTCTACTCTATTATATAACATGTGAATTTTTCTAGACTAGTTATAAGTGCCTTTCAAATTAAGATTTTACTTGCATATGCACTTATTTGTTTAAGAAAGCATATGATGGCCTCTAGTGGTACAGAAAGAAACATCAATGCTTACATTTCCAAATCAATAACAATAAAATTATTTTTTAAATAAAAAAAATATGAAGCTCATGCACATGTTGTCTATAATGAACTGTAGTTTTTAGAGTAATTACTCTGAAAGCATTATTCACATAAAAATAGTAAAATACACATAATTTTCAAACACATAAAATGAATACTTAACTATAGAAGAATATTGAACGTATTTCATTGTTGGTGGTATGAACAAGTGCCAATTTTAAAATGTTACAAGATTTGTTCACATTTTACAGTTAATTGAACGATATATTTGCAAATAATCATAATAGTAATAACTATAACAATAAAATTTAATATTAATTTTGAATTTATGTGTGCCAAGTACCATGCTAATTTACATATGGTACTAATTTTAAACTTATAAAAAGTTCATTCATATTATTGTAATTCATATTATATAATAAAGCAGCTAAGCCTTTAAAAATTTACATATTTTGGTTAATACCCCATAGTATAAGGGCAGAGGGGGCTTTCCCGCTGAGGTTTTCTGTCTCTTAAGCCTCAATGCTCAATTGCTATTTTACATCAACACTCAATATAATGTTGTAACTCTTAAATGTCAAATATAGATAACTGATTTATCCATCAAAATTGTGATTTCATGAGAATAAAATAAAATAATATAATGAAATTAATTTTAATAATAAAAAGTGCATGCAATTTTTAATCAATATAATTTTAAATATATATTTGTTATAATGCTTACAATATATGTCAAAGTCTCTATTTTAAACTACTTTTATAAAATGAAAAACTCTAGTTAGAATTAATAGCTGATACTTTATTATAACACATCAAATACAAACAGCAGAAACAGATTTTGTTGTAACCTTATCTAGGTAACTGAATTATTTTAACAATAAGATATTGTAAGCAAAACAAATTGATGTCCATTTTCTTAGAAATTTTCTCAGGAATAATTAAAAAAGGAATTTCCACAATTTTTCCAAGTTAGAATGCAGAAATAATTATTTCTTCTTTCTTCTTTTCCTTCTCTTCTTCACTGTCTCTCTCCCTTCTATTTTCCTTAAGTTTTTCAGTGCATTTTTGTCTCTGATTTTTTTTAATTACATGCATTAAATTAGACTGATTTTAGTTTATCTATGAGTTTTAATATATGTACAGGTTTGTTTAATGACTATTACAATCAGGATGTGGAACTGTTTATTCACCTAAAAAATTTGTACTGTTTTTCCTTTGTATATAATTCCTCACATCCACTGATCTCCATTCCTGTGGCTTTTCCTTTCCCTGTGTAGCACATAAAGGGGATCATAAACAATGTAACACTTTGAGACTTGTTGATTTTATTCAGCAAAATACTTTTGAAATTCATCTGTTATACTGAGTTTGTCAATATATAATTTGTTCCTTTTGATTGCTGGGCATTATCCCAGTGTAGTGGTTTAAAACTAGAGTTTGTTTATCCATTCAGCTGGTAAAGGACTTTTGTGTCATATTCAGTTTACTGTGATCATGAAGAATCACTTATGCCACTATTGTGTGGACATAATTTTTTATTTCTGTAGGATGAATACCTATCTACCTGGTCACATAGTAAGTGTTTTAACATCATATGTCAAATCTGATTGATTTGGGACTTTCAGATTCTCCATTGAAAAACATTCTTCTCCATTTTGTTATATATATATTTTTTTCATTTTCAATTCATTTTCTCTGACTACGCCTACCAGAATTTCTAGCTCCTATTTAGCAGCTAGCCTACTTTAAAAAATTCTAAAGCTCCAATTTGTTTCCATCATGGCTTTAAATGCTCTCATTCTCTATGGTCTCTGTTCTCTTTTGCCTAACAAAGAAAAAGAAAGCACTGCCTGACTAACAGTTGTATAAATTTCTTGCTTAAGATTTATAATTTTTCAACATCCTTATAATAGTTATCACATAAACATTAAAAAAATTGTGCATTTCCATTTTCTTTTGTATTTTGCTCATTTATAAGGGCTTTGTTTTTTTATTAGGATATTGGGTAGAGGCAGGACATGGGATAGAGTAGAAGGAAGAGCATATACTTTTTTTGAGGGATTAATTTAGCGGTTCTTTTGATTACTCTTACAGGTTATCAAAGGGACACTGAGGCAAACAAAAAGTGTTGCTAACTGAATAGCGATGGCCTTCATTTGAGGAGCTGTCATCAGCAGTCTTCATTATAGCTGTAATGATAATGTGTAATGTGGTATTTTAATAACCATTGCAATTGGCTATTAAAATGCAGCTTTGCACATCAAAATTGCTATGCTGCTCTTGCAGAATTTCTCAGGAAATACGCCGTCCCTTGACAGTTTTCTGCAGTTTAGTGGTAACCTCTGCCTTTTTGGAGCGCTCACCTATTCAAAAATACTGCTTAAAAAAAATTCACCCCAGTCTCACTCCTTATCTATCATCTATCTGTCTATCTAATAACACTTTTTATTATGGATCTATGTAGCTGCTCTAAAGAGATAAAAGAAATCAAGAGCATAGTAGCATGATATTCTGTGTTCATCAGGCTGGAACTTGGCATATTAAATCACCCTGAGAAAGTTTTGTTCTGATAATGTGGTAAAACAATGGCCTATATTTCTGAATTTTAATGGCTACACAGCCCAACATGAATTTGGAGCCATTATTAGACTATGATCATTTCCTTAGCTTTTCCCTCATTTATATATCTCATCCTTAAGTGCAATGATATATTGAAAATTGATTTTTTCCAATATTTTCAAACATCATTTAACTTTTTTACATTTTATTCTGCACATAATAGTAAATGAAATCACAGAATAACACTTCTTTTCTAATGTCTACTCAAATCTTGTAGATATTTATTTTTCCCCTCTATAGTGAATGTATTCACAAAGCATCAATGTTTCAAGAAAGAGTTAAAACAGGAGGCAAATCGAATCAGATATCTTGATATAAATTGTTATATTGTAGAAGACAATACTAACAAACAATCGATATTATATTTTGTCTTACTCTTAGACTTTTTTTTTTTTTTGAGACGTAGTCTCGCTCTCTCTCCCAGGCTGGAGTGCAGTGGCGTAATCTCGGCTCACTGCAAGTTCCGCCTCCCGGGTTCACGCCATTCTCCTGCCTCAGCCTCCAGAGTAGCTGGGACTACAGGCTCCCGCCACCACGCCCGGCTAATTTTTTGTATTTTTAGTAGAGACTGTGTTTCACCGTGTTATCCAGGATGGTCTCCATCTCCTGACCTCGTGATCCGCCCGACTCGGCTTCCCAAAGTGCTGGGATTACAGGCGTGAGCCGCCGCGCCTACTCTTAGACTTTTTTAAGTATTAAATAATATATTGTGCAAATGTACCATATTAAAGGCAAATAAAATTTCAGGGTCTCCAAAAATAATGTACAATATTAAGTCATTGCTGAGAAAGCAGAATGAGTCACATATAAAAAACTAAAAGTTCAAGTTTGAAACTATGGATAGGTAAAATCTTTTTATACATTTTGAATACTAAGTATAAAAGAAAATTTAGATGAAAGGCTTTAAGAAGTCCAATTTCACATAGATTTGATGGTGCGAAGCAAATAATAACTGTAAATATATATGGAATTTCACAAAGTAGAAGTTGGAGGCTGTTATGGACTGAATTGTTTCCCTCTTAAAATTCCTATGTTGAAGGCCTAAGCCCCATATAACTGTATTTGGAAATAAAATCCTGAAGGAAGTAATTAAGGGTAAATGAGGTCATCAGAATGGGACCCTAATCCACTATGACTGGTGTACTTAACAAGAAGAAAGAAAGATGTCAGGGATGTGCTTGCACAGAGATAAGGCCACGTGGGGACAAGCAGAGAAGGCCATCAGCAAGCCAAGGAGAGAGGCTTCAGGAGAAGACAAACCTGCAAACAACTTAATCTTGGGTTTCTAGCCTCTAGAGCTGTAAAAAAAATAAAATTTCTGTTGTTTAAGCCTCCCACGTCTGTGGGGTTTTGTGTGTGTGTGTTTGTCTGTCTGATTGTTTTTAGCAACTCTTGCTTACTAATACACAAAGAATATCAGTGCGGTGGATTTCAAACCATGCCATGAACAGGCCTTGGTGTTGGGAACAATTATATTTGGGATCTTGGATGCCTTAAATTTTTTGTGGGCACATGTAAGGAAGTTTCTGTCATTGGCAAAAGGAAGCAGTGTTGGTGTTTTAAGCAGGCTGTTTCTTTGTTCCTTATTTTCTGCCAAAGGCTGTTTCTTGAGCTTTCTCTTTAATTCAGCGTATTACTTATTCCTTTCAAATAATTAATTTTCCTACTTTAGATAACACAATTTAGTTGAAAAGAGAGACTCTGACTAGTACAAAGGAAACTATCAAAGAAAAGAAAATCTGTATATTAAAATATAAGTATTAGAATATAAATATTAACTTTGAAGAAATTACTTTTAGTTAATACTACATATCATTTATATATTTATGTGGTTAAACATAGTCATAGTTTATACAGTTTTCCTATCATTTCTTTTAATTTATAATATGTCATGTTCATTTAAACAGTCATTTACAATGTATAAATTTACCCCATAATTATTTATTGATTGCTTACAATTTTTCAGGCACTGTGTTAGGTTCTAGAGTTCTATAGTGAATTAGCAGGGTTGAAGGCCTCATGGATCTTGCAGTTCAGTATGAACTATATACTTGACAATTTCTTTGTAATTAGTACAACTACATCTGTCCTGATGGATGTTACTAATATAGTTACTAATATTATACATAGTATTATAGACTTTTATACCTGTGTATACAAATCTGGATAAATATTTTGATTAATATTTAAGTGATTTTATGAAACGAATAGATGAGTCAAAGGTTATGGATATGCTACAGTTCTTGATAAATTCCTAACAATACGAATAAGAAAGTACAATCTGATAATTATTATGTGTCTATCTCACTGCATGCTAGCCAGGAATGAAAGTTTATAAATGAATTATTTTCAAAAAGTTGTCTGTTTACTTTTCAATTATTTCTTGAATTTTTATTAGTGAGTGAATTGGTTCTTCATATTCAAACATCAGTATTACAGTGTCAATTCCTTTAATTGTCTACTTAAGAATTTTAGACATTTTAAATCACTGTTTTCATAGAGTTTTCATGTGGAATATTTAATAACATTTTAACCCGCTGTTATTTTTTCGCAAACACAATTTACATTAATCTGCAATGTTTTAAAAATTAAGTTGTATTTTCAAATTTTTCTAGTTACCTTGCTTAATCCATTATAACCATTTTAATCAGCATTATGTAATAGGATATTTCCCTTTTTAGTATAACTAACGTTTTAATGCTTAATCTTTCTTTTCTTTTCAACTGCTTTATTGAGGTAAAATGGATATACCAAAGCACCCTATACATGTTTAATATATACAGTTTGATGACTTTCAACATATGCATATAACTGTAATAGTATCACCACAATCAAGTCTATAAATGTCACCACCAAGTTTCCTGTGTGCACGTGTGTGTCTGTAAAGAAGACTTAACATGAGGTCTCTGCTCTTAACACATCTTTAAGTGCACACTACTGTGGTTTAAACTGCAGGCACTATATTGTATAGCATATCTCTAGAAAGTACTCATTTTGTCTAACTGCCTCTTTACACTCATTGAACAACTCCACATTCTCCCCCAACAGACAAACTCTGCAAACCTAAATTCTATTTTTTGCTTCTGTGAATTTCACTTCTTCAGATACCTCACATATGTGGAATCATACAGTATTTGTCTTTCTGAAACTGGTATATTTTATTTAGCATAATGTCTTCCAGGTTCATTCATATTATTATAAACAATAGGATTTCCAGTTTAAAGGCTGAATAATATTCCGTTGTATGTGAGGTATCATATTTTCTTCATTAGTCATCCATCAATATTTACATTGTTTCTACCTCTTGGCTATTGTAAATAATGCCACAATGAGCATATAGTTAACAATACAAGGAGACTTTTAATTATTCATAGAAAAATGGAATTAAAATATAAAAATAAATAATATACGCTTTGTTTTTCAACGTAAGCTCTGTCAAGTTTAGGACACTTTTGTAAGTGATGATGCCAGCCATAGAGTTCATCCCTAAAGAACTGAGGGTCCTGGGAATTTAACAATGTTAATTCAATATTTTTTACATTGTGAACTGAAGGCAAAAGTGTGCCTTTACAGATTTACTAAGATTAGGAAACAAAAAGAAATCAGAAGGAACCAAATCAAGCATGAAAGGTGGATGATTAATAATTTCCCATTGAAAGTCTTGCAAAATTTCCCGTGTTTAATGAGAGGAATGAGTAGGAACATTGTCATGGTGCAGATAGACTCTGGTGAAACTTTCCCAGGCATTTTTCTGCTAAAGCTTTGGTTAACTTTCTAAAACACTCCATTCATAAGCCGATGTTATCATTCTCTGGCCCTCTAGAAAGTGAACAAGCCAAATGCTTTGAGTATCTCAAAAATCCTTTGCCACAACCTCTGTTCTTGACTGGTGCACTTTTGCTTTGACTGGGCCACATCCACCCATTGGTAGCCATTACTGTGATGGTGCTTTGTTTTCAGGATTATACTGGTAAAGCCATCTTTCATCTCCTGTTACAATTCCTCAAAAAAATTCCACTTATTTAGAATTTCCATTGCAAACACTGCCCCTGCCTGCAACTGATTTGAGCAAAAGTTTTGGCACACATCAAGTAGAAGGTTTGCTCAACTTTAATTTTTGAGTCAGAACTGTGTAAATAGAATCGATTAAGATGTGTATAGTGTTGGCTATTGTTTATGCCATTAATCATCAGTCTTCTTCAAATAGAACATGAACAAGATGACTTTTTTCTTAGATATTGATGCAAATGATCTGCAATTATGGGCTTCATCTTCAGCATTGTCTTGCCCCTGCTTAAAATAGGTTATTCATATATAAACTGCTTATTTGTTTGGGGAATTGATCCCCTAAACTTTTCATAAATCATCAATAATTTAGCCATTCTTCCACCCAAACTTTACCATATATTTGATGTGTGTTGAAGTTTCAGTTTTAGCAAAATTCATGTTGCCCTGATGGGGGCTGTATTTAAACTGATGTCTTATCCCTCTCAGTGCCTCAAAATCGATCCTGTCCAGACATGTTATAACAAGGTAGTGTGATATATATTTAGGTACAATTTTTTCAAATTAATACATAGCTTTTTTCATAATATATATTTCTATGAACTTTTTGAAGACCCTTAATATCGTATTTTACCCTTCAAAATTGGTTAAGTGGGTAGATTTTATTTTACTTTTTTTACTACAATTTAATAAATGTGATGATGTAGTTCAGAACGCAGAGGCTGGGGCATGCAGTCAGTTATTCTTCCTACAGGTGAGGTCTACAAGACACTCTGTCATTGCCACTGGGGTCTATCCCTTCTATTGCAAAACTCTACTTCTCAGTATTCAGAAAACAGCTCTCTCTTGGTTTATGGGAGCCTTTCTTCCTAAAGGGAAACTCAGAAAAAGGAGGTTAGTGGAATGAAATATATGTCCTCTTGATTTCTGGGCCACAGCTGCTACTTAATATCTTCATTTCACATATAAATTCTAGGTTCCTTCACCCTAAGATATAATATCGGAAAGTCTTGGTGGGTTATCTGATGGCATGATTAAAACCTTCATCTGCAAAATTATGACACCTTGATAATTATACCCTTCTCATTTTGGGGTTGCTGCACATATCTATTTCAATTACAAGGTGTCATATCAGGAGACACACAAGTGGATCGCCAGAGTTCCACATGCTGTTCTCCCTGACACTGCTATGTACACAGAGCCTTACCTCCTCCTTCTGGACAGGATTGATTACCATGGTGATGGGTCTCTTTTTGCCTTCTGGTCCCTGGACCCAAGACATCCAATGTACCCTGGTAGTAGTTGTAACTTACAGTTCAATGAGACCCTTGATTGTTCACTACCCAGAGTGAATACTCATTGGGGACCAAGGTTTCCCACCAGAAAAGTCCAAAGTTGTGGAGAAGAAAGTCACAGAATCCTTCAGTGGGTAATTGAGAGTGATGGCAATTGGGACATATTTTCTTCCAACCCTTGTTTTTCATACCCAGGTATCAAACCTCTTGGAATCGCAGCACCGTATAGAGGTCTCCAATTTTACAAGTATACTGCATTCTGATATATAGTAATCCATTTTTTTCAGAGTGTTTAACTTGACGATGTTTTAGTTGTACCTTCAGAAGGCAATTCTAGCATTCTTTAATGCCAGCAAACTCTGGATAATGTGGTACATAGCACAACTAGTGGACTCCATGGACATGAGCCCATTCCTATATCTCCTTTACTGCAAAGTGGGTTCCCTTGTCAGATGCCACCCTGTGAGGGATTGTATGACTGTGGATCAAGTATCCCATAAGACCTTAAATATGAGTGCTTGTCAAGCTTTTTCAGATAGTAAAGGCAGAATAGACAGAACAGTTATTTAGCATTATAAAGATAAAATGTTAGCTTTTCTAGGCAGGAGAGTTCTTTATACTCAGCTTGCCATCAAGTGGCCTATTGGTCTCTAGAGGTACAATGCTAGATTCAAAGTAAAGTGATCACCTTTATTGCTGACACATTGGGCATTCAGAGGTGGCAGCAGCTAGAACAGCCTTAAAAATAAGAGTCCATGCTTTCAGAGCTATACACAGCCTCTCTCTCTGTCATCATGGGCATTCTGTTAATTTGCATATTATGCCAGTTATAGGATGACCAATGGCAAAACATGGCTAATATAAAATGGCTGAGTCATTTTTTTCCCTGTGGATGTTTAGTGCCTCTTTTGTGTGAAGCTGTTTGATGGGCATTAATGTGCAATAGCAAAATTTCCATACTTTGTGGCCACTCCCATATGTCCATCTCCATGCCTCTACCACAGAACTCTTTAATCCAGATTTTGCAGTCCTTTTCCTCTCAGGTCTCCAACAAGACAGCTAGGCCATTGACTTCTGCCAAGGGTTCTGTATATATTCTCACCTCAGTCCACTTTTCCTTGCACATAATGTGCATGATGAAATGTACCCTCACACATCTGTCCACTGGGAAGATCCTCCCTCTCCACTATCCTTCAGGCCCACTCTCGAATGTAGCTGTAATCCAGCCACTGTTCATTTTTGTATTGCACATATTTCCTGAGGTGATCCATCTTTAAACCAAGTCTTTGAGTTTTCCTATTCATTCAATTGGATGTAAAAAAAAGTTGCATCTTCATACAGCCATGACTGTAAGATGGAAGTGGAATATTGTAATTGTGAGTGACATGGGGTTGTGAGCTTAATTGGGCTGTCTTGTCCTGCTTGTGCTAAATTCAGGGTGTACTAATTTTGTCTTGATAGACTTTTGTTATGTCTATCACACTTTAAGACTTCATGAATCTTATGTAATCCATCACATTATGGTCATCCTCGGATCCATGCTCACTTGGTCTTTCATGATCAAATGTTCTAAGCCTACCAAAGTCCATAGTACACCAAGATGTGTAATAGTATATTATACTTTGCTACTGATAGCATAGAATTTCTCAAGAAACCCAGGGATATACATTGTGGTTCACTCACTGAAGCTTATTGTAAGCTTCATACTACTACATGTTTTTCCCCTCCTGACACCTCCAGTACGAGAAAATGTGCTAGATTACATGTTCGAAGCAACTGATCCTTGGGTGACTAAACCTGCTACAAGTTTTTTCTTGCTTTAGGCCCTACTCAAAATTCATATCTTTCATTTCACCAGGCATATGGGCAAGAAAAATAATCTTAGATATAGAAAATGTTGCATTCAGAATCCAGAATGGACTATTAGGCCTTATGTTTCTTTTTATGGTGAGTAATAAGAATGTAGCACTTGTCTTTTACCTGGAGGAATTACTCCAAAATACCTCTGACCACTGGACCCTTACAAAATTCACAGAAATGGCTGGTCATTTGTTTTGTTTGTTTGTTTGCTTGTCTTTGTTTTTGTCTTTTGATGTGCAAGCATTTAATTTGAAAAAATTCATGTGCACAAGCCATAAGTAAGAATGGAAAGCAACTCTGGCTCTGAAGAAAAGAGAGGGAGAGAAGATAGGGTAGATGTGTCATAGACTGCTATGCAGTCTAAGAAAAACTGAGCAAAGGTATTGGGGAGTGTTCCAGCAAGGATAATCCATGAGAAAGGCTCTGTTTTTCCTAGGAATGGGTTTGCCTTGGTATTTCTGCTGTATTTATTCATAGACTGGAAAGCTTGACCTTGGTACCCATGTTTCAGTGGGTTTCAGAGTGCAGTAATGGGGTCCTTAATCAACTGGAAGTATGTGAGGTGCATTGTCATAGACACCACATATATTTCACAATATTAGCATGTATATTTAATAGAAAAATATATATAACATGGTCTATAATGTCAGGCAGAAAAAAATTAAATTAAACTTTTGCCAATTTTAGTGGCATTAAGGTAAGATAATTTACAGATCTGAGGCTGTTTACTTAGCTTAATAAATGTATATAATAACACTGTACTTACTACATGAGGAATAAATAAATAATATATGTAAAACATCTGGCACAGAGTAGGTAAGCAAGACAAATGCCATGCAATATTAGCTTTAAGATTGTCTCTGTCTGTACAATAAAGCTAAATAGTATGATCAATTTGGTTCAAATATTTAATGAAATAGTCCCCTAGATGCCACATGTATATATGCTTTTTTTAAATAAGGGTTTTGGTTTTTACGACTAACAGACTAAGTATTAGAGATGTATATTATTATTTTTGTCTACAAATAAGAAGAATCCTTTAATGATAAAGAATTTTGACTATAGGATAAACAGTTAAATGACTGATGGATAAACAAGAGAATAGGAGCAAAATGTAAAGGCATTTTGAGCTTATTCGGACATTATACTGGTTCTTAAAAGAACAAAATTAAGACTAAAAAAGCATTCTTACATGTAGCAAATATTATGCAAATTTATCAGTAAAATCTAAATTAAGTTAAGCTCATAGATTACATAGGTATTTGTTATCTTAATGCTATTTGATTTTATCATTTAATCTCAATTTTTATTTACAGTCAGTTACAAATGTGTAACATTTCTCATATTTGCATTACAATTCAGTACATTAAATAACATAGAAAAATATCTCTTACATTCACTTGCAGAACTTATGTCTAGATTCACTGGAACTTAGAGTAAAAGGAAATAAAGGAGACTAGCCTCATCTATTAGACATAATAATTACAATAAAAAAAGATTAGTTGAAATAAAAATTGCATTGCCCAAGTACCTGAAGTATAGGAGGAATTTGTCAAGAGGATTAATTCTCTCTAATGAAAAATACTTTTCTTGAATAGCAGACTCCTAATGGGAACAAGTATGAATGGTTTAAAATGAAACATGTCCACATTCTGAGTAGAATATTTAGTAGCCTGCAGTGATTTGGTCAGTATAATTTTCAAATCACTTACCATTTAATACTGATACTTCTACTAAAACAATTCATGCTGAGAAAATGTCTCTGCTTTTCAAAGCTAACATTAATTAAACTATTTAAACCTGAATCAAAGTTAATTATATTAATCCAATTATTTATTGAAAATACCCTTTAATTTCTCTTGACTTTAGTAAGCTCTTATTGTATGCAATGAATTGGGTGTTTTGAATGCTGCTGGCCTAGAGATTTTATAAAGAATGGAAGAACTCAGGAGTGAAAAGGAGAAAGTGAAAAATGTGTTGCATTTCAATAATGCTTAAAAAAATTGTTATCCCTTTACTTGTTTGAGAAAATTGTGTCATGTGCTTGCTTTCAAATTTATTTTTATCATGAGCTGTAATATTTGTCATCTGTGAGATATATTTTGAATAGTTTTCTGATACCTTATTTCCGTTATTTTTCTTTGAAGCTAAAATAAATATTATTTCCTTCAGCAAGCTTTTATAAATTTCTGAATACGATCTCTAAATATTTAACTTTTTATGGATTAATTTGTTGTAATCTTTATTTATTGGGTAAAATTTTAAAAATATTTTTCAAAGTACACATGCTGGATTATATTTCTAGAGGAACATCCAATAAATAATATTTTTAAATCTTTCATAAAAATGATAATAAATTTGAGTAGTAAGTGTTGATATTACTGAATCCTATTGTTGTATTTCCCAGACTCTTGGATACGGTCAGCTCTATGACTTTTTCTGAGACCGGCTACTCTGTGGAGACAGCAGAAATTTAAAAAAAAAGTGTGTGTATATATATATATATATATATATGTGTATATATTTTTAAAAAAGTGTGTATATATATATATGCTTCTTGTATATATATATACACACACACACACACACACACATATACATACACACACGCACACACACACATATGGTAAAAATGTATGTGCGTATATATATATATATATGTATATATGGTAAAAAAAGTGTGGAGAATGAGATCCAAATCTACATGACAAAAAATAATAAGACTGTCATCAATATTTTATATTGTTTCAGTAAAGACACATACTCAGTTTTTCACCTTCTGGTTGGGAGTCAGAGATAGTTAAACTTGATGAAGAGAAGTTGGAAAGCCTGAGTTTCCATATAGTATGACCTTGTCTGATCAATCTCCTGAGAGAAGCAAAACTGGAAATAAACAGAAGAGTTTTGTGCTTCAAGATTCAGTCTAATGCAAACAGTCATAAACATCATGTGGATCAAGGTTGTGTTTCTCTAGCATGGAAATGGTGAGCTTTGCCAAACCTGAACAGCCAGGGTTGCATTGTCATTGGTCATCAGAATTATTGGAGATCAGTTAACATTAATCAGAAATTCAACCTTTCAAAACCAACAACAAAAAAAAGCAGTACTGAGCACTAAAAACATGCTTCTATTTATTTCATACTTTTCAAAATATGATTTCTTCCAAAAGAGAATAGAGAGTGGAAGATATTTAGTGGATAATTACTGCAGGCCCACTGGGTGTCAAAGTGCTAGGAGAGATAAATTAAGATTGGCCTCAGCATTTCCCTTCTAAGAATTGACTTGCAGTTGGTAATAAAAAAATTAATATAAACAGACAATTTGCTCATAAACAAGAACACATTTTGTTTTAATTCCATACATTTACTTCCAGAGCAGTTAAAATTTAACCATTGAATTTCAGGAAATACTCCTTTAGGCTTAAAATTATTCACTTGCTATGTATCACTTCTTAAATTGACTGAATAGAGATAACGGAAGTATTTACTTTTCTTGATTTCACTCATATGGTCAGTTTCATTTATAAAAACAAAACTTAGCAAATCAGAAAACATTGCACTGACAAGCTGTGAGCAATGACAATAATTCCACTAATGCAGTTGCCAAGTACACTAATTATACTAATGATGATCCAGTTGTCTGATAATCACATCCCCCAAGGACCATATACAGTCAATCTACACAGCTGCAGAGTCCTCTCCAGGCTCCTTTTGCTTTTTCCTGTCTTAGTATAAACTACATAATATTACTTTATTTGCATAAAATAATCATCATAGCTGAACATGAGCTGAACATACAGACAGCTAAAGTGCTAAAGGGTAAATGAGGAGGCTTCTACATGAGGTGCCAAATCCTGTCAGTCATTTTTCCAATGCCAGACAGAGCCAAAGTTTAAACCGTAGATCTGCTTTCATCTAAAATAATCATGTGAGGTTTGGAGAAATAAGAATACTCGTGATTTATTTACCTAAATCAATGGGTTCTTTGTTGATTAAAAAAATAGTTTGAAAATATAACTATATAGATTTGTGGGCAAATGCATTTTCCTTCCCTCTTGAATTCTCTGGCAGCAACCCAAAATGGTCTTAACAAGTCTATTGAATTTTAAAATATAATTTTCAATGAAAATTATTTACCTATCACAGAGGTAAGATAGTAAAACTTATATTTGGGGAAAGGACATTTAGTGGTTATTTATTTAAAATTCAATAATTTTGTAAAAAAAAAAAAAGCCTCTCTCTGTTTTTTAATTGATTAGACTTTGTCAAGAACTCTGAAGAGTTTGGGCTTCTAACTCTGCATGCTAGCAAGCTACTCTGCCATAGTTGTGTGAATTCAGGCAAAAGACTAAAGACTTCCTTTCTTTAGCGCAGCAAACAGCATGAACTCCTTGGTTCTCCTTGCCTCCTAGTTTCTATGGGGCAAATGTGGAGCTGCCCAGGTAGATGCTGCTCACACTGTTGATTTTTGTACAACGGAGGATACATTAACTTAGGAAACTCCATCTTTTAAAGAAGCTTCTAGAAAACCTACTCAATGCTTGCACGAGAGGGAAAGATTATCTTTACTATCTTGGACAGCAGTCAAATCTGCTATGTGCTCCACGTGGAGAAACTATCCCTAACTTTCAAGGCTGTTTGCACGGCCTGAAAATGTAGTTCAGAGAAATGTAGCTGAGTAATGTCTCTTCTCAGAAGATGTGTAGAAACATGACACTATTGAGAAATGATCTCTCCCAACAGATTTCTTGGTTCTATAACTATTCCAAGCTATAACCACATAAATAATTTTCAGAAACCATCATTCTTCAGTCATAGTTTACTTTGGTGTTATATATAACTTGAGTGGGATAGATAATAAAACATAGCAAATAGAAATAAGAACAGAGCAGGTATGTAAATTCAGGTTCTCCAAAAGTAGATTCCAAGACGGAGAATGTGTTGAAATTCCTTTTGTAGGTTAAAAAGGACACACGGTTAGGCAGAGAGAGACAGAGCGTTCAGAAAACCATACAGGCCCCCTTGACAGGGCAGAAGATCGTAAAGAGGGCTGGCTAGGAAGAGACTCAGGTTGTAGTGAAATTCCGAGAAACACTCCGCCAATTGGATAGGAAGCCCTGGAGCAAAGACCATCTGATTTACGAGCTCCAGTCCAGCATCCGTACTGAACTCAGTCATTGACTGGGAGCAATCTCAGGATTGGCCTGTATGTATTTTGGGTACTGAACATGTAGCAAGTATAGTCTGTCAGTTAATTATACGCCAAAAGCAGATCCTCTCTTGAGAGAGCTGATCAGCGCACTCACACAGTTGCTGGAGCAGGGATAGTGACATTTTAATCAGGCATTGTTACTTCTTTGTTGGAATGTCCTTTGCTTTATAAATATTTCAAAGGTGTCCATGCTGCAAAGTCATGATTAAGGTTAAGTGCTTTTATGCTTTTTGATCGGGGAATACAATGTAAATCCATAGTTTCTTTTAATATAGCATAAAAGTTGATAGGAAGAAACAAAATGAAGATTTTGTTTCACACGATTCCAGAGTCATAGGGTAGGACAGGGGTCAGCAAACATTTTCTTTAAAGGGATGGGTAGTAAATATTGTTTGCTTTTATACCACACAATCTCTGTTGCAAATACGAAACTCAGCTTTTGTAATGTGAAAGCAGTCATCGCCAATATATAAACAAATGAGTGTGACTCTATTCCAATAAAACCTTTTTACAAAATATTAGTGGGCTGGATTTTGCCTGTGGACCATACTTTTTCTGGTTCTGGCTATACAATAGTTTACTATGTGCTCTGTAAGTGTTCCTCATCTCTGTACATGGTCAGTAATAGGATTGAGCAAACAGCTGATAGTTTGTATCTAAGATGTACGGAAGCCAAACATTGGACATATATGTTTTCTTTGACAAGTTGTAATGTTTGCCGCTGAAGTGAGCACCTTCAGAATGTCACAGACACATATACTGATGTAAAGAATTCTTCTATGCTTTAGTGTAATGCGGGAAGGCATAAAGGCTTATGCTACAGTGGATTAAATAAGCATATGGAGGGCTGGCATGAGGGTTGAGGAATTGGGACAGTATAATGATTATCCCAGTATTTTCTATTCTTATTATTTCATGTGTTGAAATGGATGCCTATTTAAGGAAAACTATATATATATATATATACATATATATATATATATATATATATATATATATTCATTTGTACTTAGTGGTACAAGAATTAAGGTAGAACTAGATAATTTTTTTGCTCTAAGTCAAAAAACTAAAAATAAAAAAGGAAACAGAATGAGAGCGAGAAAGAGCACCACTGGTGATCCAAGTGAATATAATATCCTGATTTACTTTGGGTTTTCAAAAAATAGCACTGAAGATAAAAACTCAGATGTAGGTCATTTATTTTTTGATGGTAATTACTTTTATTTGGGAGTGATCTCAAGAAGTAGGAATCAAGTAGAGTAAGACAAATAGGAGGAAATTTTGATATAATGTTGTTGTTATCCAACTTGCTATGGCACATAACGAAAGTTCATTTTCTCTGGGACCATTGGCAAGTACAGTTTGACACCCAGAATTGTTCATCTGTAGACAGTAGCTACCTCTCATTTCTGAGATGTATTCATCCATGGGCCCAGTGGTCTGCCACTTGGCTAAAACACCTGTGTGAGGAAGTAAAAAGACTCACAGCTACAATGTTGCTGGAAGCAGGATGCCATCAGCTGTTGGTAAATCAGAGTTCACATGAACCTGTATAGAGTAGTCAAAGCTGAAACTAGAGGCAGTTGAGTGTATGTGATGTAGGGTGCAAAAGTATCTGCCTGCAGACTTGTATTTGACTACCATGTGTTCTCTGCATATTCAAGGGATCATGTACCTTTTTCTCTTAATTTGGGTACTGTTTATACAGCTTTTAATAGGTATATAAGCAGTATCTGCAGCAAAATTCTTGGTTTTCCTGGGATCTTCATGAAAACAGATTGAGATGTGTTATCCTTTTTAAGATTGGCATTCATAAATTGCTATGATAAAGAGAACAGGAAATGCATTGTTCTAATGTTGCAGAAATTGCTGAGCACCAGTCTTTTCATAGTCTCTTTCTTTTAATCCAAATACCAATTTCATGACATTCCATATGCTTCCACAAGTATATCACACTATTTTTGTTTAGAGAATGAAGTTAAATAAGAAAAACAAAGATGCTAAGTATTGTTTTTAATGGTATTCCTGACATCTTTGTTACTACTTCTGCAATGTTTTCAGATTCTCATTCTGTAGTTTAAGCATTTTTAATAGCCTTACTTGGGTTTCTCCTTTGGTCTTCTAATTGTATGAAAAGTTTTCTTATTTTCCTAGAATACACATTATTGACTTATCCACTGTTTATTTCTCTTTTTAACTAGCACAAAATTATTTCATAAACAATCTATTATCTCCTTTTTAACTGTTTCAACTATTTTTATACATCCCAAATTTTCTTAATCCTAAAGTAGTGATAGAGTACATCAGCAGCACCTAATATCAGTATCTAGAGAGTATATTTTAAAATATAGGGGGGACATGCAGGCCCCTGTCCCCCACATGCATGACTAAATTGATTTTTTTCTTTCAGCACTCCATGAGTGCCTGATTGTAAAATCCCATCTGGACTTAGACCAGAAGAGAAAGAGGATTGGCTCAAGCTGGAGGTCTAGTTACTAATTTTACAAAGGTGTTTATTCTGTGAACTATATCATTTTAGAGCCAGATGATAAACACATTTCAAATTGAATGCAAACTCTGATTAATTGGTAGTGGCTGCCTGATTATTGATATATGCCAGGAAAGAAAGTAGGGTAGTGGCTGCTCCTCAGCTAAATATTACACACTCTGCTCTGGATACATTATAATGAGGCTGTCAGAAAACTCACTCTCACCATGAACTATCTGTGTCTACTTGGCCTACTAACTCCATTCTACCTGTTTATTTATAATATGAGGTTAGTACTAATACCTACCTAAAGTACTACCTAGTACCTAGTACTAATACCTATCTAAAATACCTTTTTGCATTTTTCTCGTGATGTAATGAATAAATAAAGGGAACTTAGTAAGTTGCCTAGCTGAATCCCTAATTAAAATTTAGAGGTTGACAAACGCTAAATGGTAATAATAATAGTAACCATAATTGTGCGAACGATCAGCATCATTCACTGGTGCTCATAATTTTACATCTTTGCCTTTTTTTCATGCAAAACATACAAAATAGTTATTTTTACCATAATTCTATAAATGAAGACAAATATAGATTGAGAATGTGTTTCTCTGACAAAAATCAAAAAGTCAAATTTGAGAGCAGAAGTATAATCAGCTTGGCGATTTATTATCTGGTAACCATTGTTATCAGGTAGATGAGTATCTTCATTATTGTATTAACAACAGGTTTTAGTAATATAAATAGAATTGAAAACTTTTTGCTTGAAAAATATATTTCTCAAAGCCCTGGTCATAATTATCTGGACTTGAGAAGATTATTAAAATGAATGTAGTATTAGCTTAGGAGTGGAATATTTTTTAGAAAAAAAACTTTAGAGAATATTTCTTTTAGAAAAAAATGAAAACAAAGTCATATTAAACATTTAGAGAGGTAGCTATTGTGTTCACATTCAAATTTAGCAATGTTTTGCATTGTTAGCATAGCTTCCATTTGGCTAGGTTTGCCTCCCTCAAAGTAAGTAAGTAAATATACCTGATGTTTCTAAATGGATCTTGGGAGTAAGTAAGCTAATTATATGAGCTTCTCCTGAAATTTCGGCCTTCAAGGAGACACAAAATAAAATATACCAAAAAATGCATATAGGCCACATGTTGTTAAAAATGAAATCCCCAAACTCATATTGTATCAGAATGTGGGCAAATTCAACAAGGACCCTTCTGCACCACCAGAGGAGGAATATTCTTTCTCACAACATTGTTATCTGCTTTCACCATGTGATTTGCTTTGGCCAGTTGTGTGCCTGCAGAAGTGATTGTATATGTACTCTTATGAGTTAAGGAAATAAAGGAGGCCAGAGCGGCCAACGAAGTGTGTGTGATGTGGACAATGACCAGAGAGGTCAGAGAATTAGATTTCTTACATGACTTTTTCATATATGATGTCATTTCTAGTCATAATTCTCTAAACTGTAATGGTTCGCTAGAATTGAAATTTCTTATGCACCCATTCTATAGCCTTATTTTAGAATGTCTGAACTGAAAGAATATATAGTCATAAAAGATCAATTCCCCTAAAACCAAAAACCTATAATAATTCTACCTGATTATGCAGAATAGATACCAAAAATGTTTTCTCTTTGTGCTCAGGGCAGAATTATTTATAATAAAATTTCACTTTTCCAGTTGTCTTCATTGCGATGGGATCACCTGTTTTTAAAATGAAAACCAGCATTACCTTTAATATCTTTAAGGATATTCAGAGTAAACTTACCTTCTTCTGAGTGACCTTTAATGTTCCAGTCCCACTGAATATGTCATATTTATTATAGCTCACTTCAGACGAACTAATTCTTTTTGTCACTATTTTGTTCCACTGAAACAACTCTGGACCTAGCCCTTCCAAAAAAAAATTCTAATATTCATCTCTATGGAAAGATTTGCTTAAGATTTCGGGCTTATATTCATAAGCAAGTTTTTTCTTTAAAAAATAGGAAAATAACAGGTACCCTGTTCTTGAAAGTTCCATGGCCATCCTAACTACAGAGTACCTCTAACTAGAAATTTTTCTCATTGTTCTCTCAACCTGTTTTATTTGGGTTGTGTCCAGAAGTAAAAGTTTCTCTTAGCTTTGCTAATTTACTCTGGTCTGTTTTTCCCTGTGCCAAACATAATTCTGTACAGTTTTTTTATATCCCAAACATTATGAAGGAACTTTACAAAAATTTATCTATCTATTCATGGCCATGAAGACTTTATCTATTAGTAATACAAAAAACATTCAGAAACTTTGAAATAAATGCCATTTCTTTAGCAAGCAGCAGTGTGGCTTACTTATCCATCATACTCTGTAAGCATAAAGCAACACTTTATAGATCTATTTTGCCTAGTACAAAGACATCTTTTTATTCCCTTTTTGAAAGGATAGGTGCCCACAGGGAGGTTTTGTTTAGTTATTAATACCAAATTTTGATTTTATTCTCCTTGAATTTTAGATTTGCAAAGGACTTTAGTGAGATCTTCTAAAATAATGCCTTTATTTTTATCTGTACACAGAATTGTCAGGTCCTATAGTGCATGATAAATTTCAGAACGTTAAATTATAGTTCCCTCACAAGCTGACTTAAAAATAGTCAAATATCTCCCATTTTATTGAGCGTTTTAATTATATTTTAAAATTTTAGCTATACAAATAAATGACCTCTAGGTTTCTAAAGCTACAAGCAAGAATAAACTAAGTACAACCCAATTTTTTTTCTGATACTGTAAAATGTGATTCAAATTCCATATAATTTTCAGTAGAAAAGCAATAGGTATGTAAAGTACATGCAAAATAATTGTAAAAGAGAAAAAGTGTGGGTGTACAGTGTAAAATAACAGTGAATATTGACAGAGATATAAATAAGCAGTATTCAGGAATGGTGTGAGTTGATTGGCAAAGATGTATTGCAGTAGGATTAGTCACAGACGCAAACAATTTGCAGGATAATTAGAAGTACTCTTTGGCATATTGACTGACCATTAAAAACTAAATTCATTTAAATAAATCTATAATTATAAAACAGGGCTATGATGGATCTGTTTATGAGTCTCTCTTTCATCTCTACACCCTTCTACACATGTCCTTCATAGGTAGAAAAGTGCACAGGTGCTTCTACTTTTAGAGGTTTCTTGTTTATTATGTTGTTGTTGCTGTTTTTATTGTCAATGTCCTCATCATTATAATAAAAATTGGAGGTAATCTGAATTTGTAAGCAAATTGACTAGCATTTTTTAAAACAATTGAAGCTCCCTGCATATGTTAAAAAATAGTATTAACTTAATATTTTTGGATGAAATATGCTCAAATGAAACAGAAGTTTCACAAAATCAAGCAAAAAATGCAGAAGGTTTTGAAATCCTAATTATCTAATTTGTTGGTTGGTATTTCCAGTAGCTTAAAAATGTATCAGGTCACAATGATAATTTCCCTGTTTTAAGATCTAGAATTTAGCATAGAATCTTCACCAGATGACAAAGTACTCCTTCCATATTTTTTATTACTACCCTATTTTATGAAATTTTAAAAGTTAGTTGACCAACTGACTATATGATAAAGCTAATACAGTAGTCCACCATTATCTGAGGTTTTGCTTTCTTCGGTTCCAGTTAGCTGCTGTCAACTAGAGTCCAAAAATAATAAAATGAAAACTTTCAGAAGTAAACACCTCAAAAATTTGAAACTGTATGTTTTTATGAGTAACACAAATATTGCATCATCTTGCTCTGTCCTGCCAGGGACTTCAATCATTTATTAATCCAGGATATCCATGCTACATAGGCTACCTGCTTGATTTAGCAACTTAGTAACCATCTGTTATCAGACTAACTTGTGAAATTGCCGGGCTTGTGTTCAAGTAATCCTTATTTTATTTAATAATAGTCTCAAAGCTCAAGAATAATGATGCTGGCATATTCATATAATTGTTCTATTTTATTTTTATTTGTTGTTGTTAACCTGTTACTGTGTCTAATTGATAAATTCAACTGTATTATAAGTAGTGTGTATATGTAAAATATAGTATATATAGGGTTCAGTACTATCTGTTGTTAATTTCTTTTTTTGTTTTCTTCAACTTTTATTTTAAGTTCAGGGTTGCATGTGCAGGATGTCCAGGTTTGTTACAGAGGTAAACATGTGTCGTTGTTGTTTGCTGCACAGATCATCTCATCATGGAGGTATTAAGCTCAGCATTCATTAGCTATTCTTCCTGATCCTCTCCCGCCTCCCACACTGCTGACAGGCCCCAGTGTGTGTTGTTCCCTCCACAATGTGTCCATGTGTTCTCATCATTCAACTTCCACTTATAAGTGAGAACATGTGGTGTTTGATATTCTGTTCCTGTGTTATTTTGCTGAGGATGGCTTCCAACTTCATCCATGCCCCTGCAAAGGACACAGTCTTTTTCCTATTTATGGTAGCATAGTATTCCATGGTGTATTTGCTGTTTCATGCATCCACTGGAGATCTGGGAATGTATCTCCTACAGATAAGAGGAGACTGTATTATACTGCATGTTCAGCATAATATTCCATTTTACTCAATTTCCAATTATTCACAAAAATCTGAAATTGTTGAATTTGTTGTATAAGAAAAAGTTTTAAGATTCATTCATCCAAAAAAAAATTTGACACTGACTTTAGAAAACTTAATATTAGAACATTTTTGAGGAACATTTAAATATGGGAAACACCCACATTAATATAATTTACATTTGATAACATTAAGTAAATTATCTGAAACTCTCAAGATAATTTACATTTTTGTTTATCTAAAAGTCTTTCATTTTTTAATCTAAATCTGTACAATGTGTATCCCCTGAATATGAAATATAGACTAGGTTTTATTATACCATTCTTGATGCTCAGACATATGTGTGCACACAAGTACTCAATTGACATGTTTGAGACAGAATTATATTTGGGGCGACATTGGGAAAATTACTAACTGAATATAGATACAAAAATTCATTATGTCTTTCAGTAGAGAGTTTCTTCCAGAGGTAAATAATTAAGTTATTATGTAAATTTATTTAAGATCCTTTAGATAACTTTTGTATGTTTATATGTTTCTATGAGTTGTAATTTCTAATTAAAAGTATTAATCACAAATAATCATTTTAAAATTGTGTTATAAGTAAATTTATTTTTATGTCAAACTTCTTAAATATTGATGAAGATATTGATGACTGGATGATGAAAACAGGAATATTCGTAATAAGATGGCTATGACTCAGAAATAAACACTATCTGTTCTCTATGTCTATTGCTTTTATTGCTAAATGATTTTAAATCAGATAACCATATTTTTAGATATTTAACAAATTACCGATGCTTACATGCTATTCGGGTGTAGTACCAGAAATTTAGAGCACTCATTCAGTACTATATTAGATAAGAAGAATACAAAAAAATTGAAAGGTGACACTTTTGTTCAAAGCGATTACACTAAATTATAAGATAGCAAACATGCAAAAGAGACTTTGAACTTGCTCAGGAAGTGTTTTGGAAAAAACACATTAATAAAACATTCCTGATAGTAAAATTTTTGAAGAAAAACATATTTTGGCTGGAAGGACTTTTTATATCCACTGAAAATATTTTATTACTGTGATCCTAATTATAAACTGTATATGTTGGGTATGAAAGTTATTAATTATAGTTATTTGGTAGTTCAATTCAAAATTTTAGAGCTTTATAGCTGGAAGAAATCTTAGCAATCTTTTGAAAACCATGTATATTCACATCAGTATTACTAAACAGAAAGCCTCAAGTAGGGCAAATCTATTCAAGAGCTTTCTTCCCTCCCCCTCTCTTTATAACAATCCAACTGTGTTAAATCATGCAAAGAGAAAACGAACAAATAATTCACTCCAAGTCTGGAAATCAATGTTGCAGAATACCTGAGAGATAGAGGCCACTCATCAGCAAGCCCAACCAGGCATTAAGAAATTAATGCTGAATAACCAAGAGGATAGGAACCTGCTGTGGTTGTTTGGTTCAACGCTTCATGGGGTTTGGCTCACACAGAGCGCATACACTTCAGAAATGTGAGGTTGATGATGCTTTCTTACTTAGTCTTCGTTGTGTCTTTGAAGCAGTAATTGGTCGTTGAAATGAGTTTCTCACAACACACTTAGAATTTAATATTCTGAAGTGTAGGCTAGAAAGGACCAGCTGTTATTTTTGCTTTAAATTTGGGGGCTTAGTTTGCATTGTTGGCATATAAAGCACTCATTTGGAAAAACAGAAAATTCTGGAAATGGAACAAAGAATTACAATTCCCCTAGAACACTTTTGCAGTGGGAGCAAGAGGGATCTAAAACTTGAAACTTGAAAAGGGTTAATGCAGACAGTGTATCTGAAAACGCTCAAAAGATTTCTTTAATTCTCGCTCCAGAACATCCCTTTTGTTTTGATTGAGCTAAAAGTCCCAGCTGGGAAGAAGCAGGGCACCAACTCAAAAGAACCACAGCTCTATTTATTTTTCAGTCATCACACAGATGTATTTGGATTTCTTCTGATTATGAGCATCCATCCACAAAATGTAGAAATATATTTAATAAGGTGTTTCACAATGTAGGTACCTAAAAAAAAAATCCAAACCTACTAATATCTGCAAATTCTGTGTGCTTACCTATTTCAGCATGCCTAACTAAACTAAGTCACTATGTACAGATAACAAAATGAATAAAATTAATCTGCATTTTTTTCTGAAATGCCAAAAGGAATAATAATACATAAATGCTGATCAGTACATAGCACCTTTTCCTTTGTCATAAATATTTATGTTATCTACTCATACATGGTTTCAAAAATGGCAATGATGGTAAATATTCAATTGTGATGAAGTTTTAGTTATCCAATACAGAAAAGTATAGACAGAATAATTTTATTTGTATTGTTTTAGGACATTAAAATGTCAATTTGGATTAATCTATAGTCAAAATGATTGATTATGGATGATATTTAAATTGTATCCAAATATTAATTGAACACCTTTCAAACACACTGACTTCTGTGATGGTAGAAAAACATAAAAATGCTTCTGTCTCAAAATCTTTTTATGTATGATCCTTGCCTAAAATTATTTTCTCCAAATATGCACATAGATTTCTCACTTAACTCCTTCAAGTCTTTACCAGGGCACTACTTATAACTGCATATGTTGTGGTCTGCACAGCTGAGGAAACATCAGTCACTTAGATTACAATGTGAATGACAGCATTCACATTGCACCTGTTGTGTAGTTGTGTGAAGCTGCAACTCGTGTTTCAAATAACTCACCTATGAATGAGGCCTTCCCTGACCATCCTATTTAAAACTGAAACTCCTCTCCAATATTCCATTTCCGCTTCTGTTCTTAGCACATATTTCTATAGCGTGTACAACATATTTCCCTTAATACTTTTGTCTGGCTCCACTTTTACAGGATAAACTCTATTTATCTAGGATGTATTTCTAGTGTTTACAACAGTTGTAATCAGTCAATAAATATTTGCTGAATGAGCATACAAGTTGTGTCATATATTATACTGAGCATTTAATTGAGAGAGAGAGGATGGGGAAGAAGGAGAGAAATAAAGCATAAAAAATAACTTAAAAGATGTTATTGTACAGATGGAAAGAGAGACAAGAAAAAATTTTAAAAACCCTCATATCAAGATTACAAAAACACTTCAAGTCTATCTAAGCCAGGCACAGTGGTTGGCACCTGTAGACCCAGCTGCTCAGGAGGCTGAAATGGGAGGACGGCTTGAGCCCAGGAGTTTGAGGCTGCAGTGAGCTATGATCACACCAGTGCACTTGGTCATGGGTGACAGAGAGAGATCCTATGTCTATAAAATATAAAATAAAATCAATATAATATCCATATGACCAGCAGCATGTTTATCATATGGGATTCTAAGGCCATGCTAACTATGAGGAATAATTGAATAGGAATGAGTTTAGGGAATCATCAAAAATCTTTATTTCACTGATAAAAATTATTTTGGGATAAAATTGCTTGCCAATTACATGGATATAATAAATTACATAGCTCGACATTTCTTTGATTTTCCTGATTTCTACTCACAGGGCATAGAGTATAATATAAATATCATTATTTTTTATTTTTTCTACATGAAACAGTTGATTAATAAGAATGAGAATTGCACAAATATTTGTACATTAAAGTTCAAATTTTAAAAAATTCATATGAGGTAATAATGGATATTTTGTAAATTGGGGTATAATAAGTTAATGCATTAATAATTTCAGAAAAATTGATCCTAAATATAATACAAAAGTGCTAAATAAGACTAAAAAGCATCTGAACTCCTTACTCAAATATTTGTAACCTTGAGCTGGGGAAAGTGGTTCGCTCCTCTAATCTCAGCTACTTTGGAGGCTGAAACAGGAGGAATGTTTGAGCCCAGGAGTTTAAAACTAGCCTGGGCATCATGGTGAGATCTCATTTCAAAAATAAATAAATAAATAAATAATTTATAATATTATTAAAGTAGCAGATTTAATCTTTTAAAGCAAGGAATATAAAATTAATTTGAAATATAATCTGATACCTTAGTGAAATGTTTATTAGCTCTAAGATGATTTAGTCTTTAATTATTGATCTTTTTCATAGACTCTATATTATTATAAAAATAGTCTTAGGTGGTTACAATACGGCATTCTGGTTACATAATTTTTTAATCGACTAAAAGACAATGAACTGTTTTCATTAAACAAAGCATCAATATAGTCTTGTAAAAAAAAAAACCTGTGTTCATACCAAATTATCAGCAAGAGTTTCTAATAGTTTTTTAGTGGAATTAGCTCTTCAATAAAAAATTAACCTAATCATTATCATTTTACTTTACATTTTACTGGTTGCCATGGGAATTATTATACATTGATGCAAAAGTAATTGAGGTTTTGGGCATTACTTACAATGGCAAAAACCACAATTACTTTTTCCCCAACCTAACAGCTAGGCCATAATTATGGCTAATATAAACTATCCATAATAATTCTTTACAGGGCCCTAAAATATGTAAGAGAGTGTGGAAATTAATGTTTATATGATGTTTTATGTTCAAGAAAAAAATTAAATCTTTGGCTTTCCTATTTTTCTATACTTTTTCTCGATGTCTCTGCTTTTAAATTTCTAATATTTTCTCTTTGGTATGAAAATAAATCTGTGACTCTCAACTACAGGGTGGAATTTTTTTCTAGAAAAATAACATAATTGTACCAAGATACTTCTAAATAAATAATATCCCTATGCATTTTAATATGGAAACATTTTATATGTACTTACTTGATTGCACAATAACTATGCCTTTAATCACATAAATTCCCATTATGTAATTTTTGAGTTACATTGCTGAGAAATAGTCCTTCTACAAATGTATTCAAATGTGACCATATCACATATATGATTGTGGTTTAATATATTGAATCTATTTACATTACTACAAAAATCCCAGTAACCTATTACCATTATTTATTTATTTAATAATCCATTTCAGACAATCCATAAATGTGTCCAATATTAAAATAACTTTTAAAATTTAGCATGTATTTTATACTCTGAAAGATTATATAAAATAAAAGTGTATATATACTCTATAGGTATCTGATTCACTATGTCTGGGAAGGGTCCTTTGATTTTGGATTTGGAGGAAGTGCACCAGATGAGGATGAGTATTTCTGTTTGGAAATACAATTTGAGAAACATTGAATTATAGAGTTAGTATTTTTACTTCTTTGCATTATAATCAATGTGTTCATAGTCTATTGACTGCTTCTTATGCATATCTTCTGATATAGAGTCTTCATGGAATTCATGTATAGGTTTTCCTCAGGGCTTCAAAAAATGTTTGCTATTAAGTCCTTGCTTTGCACTTGCTATTCACTTGCTTTTGCATAAATATGATCTTGTTGAACTAAGGCATATTGTAAGCCTTTACCTTCAAAAATGCTTAAATATGAATGAGTACAAACAGAGAAAGACCAAACTAGAAACAAAATATAAAATAAGTTAAAATTAAGATACAGTCAACCTAGAAGGAGGATTTTGGGAAGATGCCATAGTAGGAAGCACCAGAAATCTGTCTCCCCAGCTAGACAACAATTGTACTGGCAGAATCTGTTAGATTTAACTCTTTTGAAACTCTGGGGTCTATTCAAGGCTAGCAACTTCTGGGGGAAGACTTGGACAGTAATTTTGAGGTATTGATGCAGTAGCAGCTTTCTATCTATCCCTCATCCTCAGTTTCTAGGCAGGCAGCTGTGCACATGTTACCAGTGGAGCTTGCATATAGCATGCAGAAATCAGAGGTTGATAGGAAAGGTGTGGAGGGTAAAAAATGGACCCTGTCGTCCAAATACCAGCTATCTATGTTCTAATTGCTCATTGATGCTTCTGATCACAGAGGTGCAGACAAAGAGGCAGGCAACCATTTTATCTCCCCTATTGTTGCAAGCCTCTTCCACTACAGCTAAAATGACTTCCAGGAGATTTAAAGAGCTGGCAGCCTTTTCCATCCCCTTATTTTCTTTCGCTCTTTTTCAAGCCAGAAAATACAGGCTGGGCCATTGAAAAGTAGGTGATATAGAATATACACAAAAGAAAGTGGGAAAGGAATTTAAACATTTCACAAAAAATAAACTACAAACACAAGGAGGTAGAAATGCAGGAAATCAGGGTCAAAAAAGCGCTAATAGAAAACAAATAGCTATCACTTTGGGAGGCCAAGGCAGGCCAATCAATTGAGGTCAGGAGTTCAAGACCAACCTGGCCAACATGGGGAAACCTCGTCTCTACTAAAAATTAAAAGAAAATAGTCAGGTGTGGTGACACACGCCTGTAATCCCAGCTACTAGGGAGGCTGAGTCAGGAGAACTGCTTGAGCCCAGGAGGCGGAGATCGCAGTGAGCTGAGATTCTCCCAGGGCAACAGAGCAAGACTCCATCTCAAACAAAACAGAACAAAACAAACAAACAAAAAGTAAATAGCTAGCAAAATGACAGATGTAAGTTCTTCCTTATCAGTAATTACTTTAAATGTAAATGGATTAAATGCTCCACTGAAAAACAGAGATTGGCAGAATGCATTTAAAAAGTAATCCAACGATATGCTCTCTGCAAGAAACTCATTTTAGATTCAGAGACATAAATGGATTGAAAGTGAAAAGATGTAAAAGATACACAAATGGTAACTGAAAGACAGCAGGGGTAGTTATACTAATATAAGATGAAATAGACTTTAAATCAAAATAATTTACAAGAGACAAATAAGGACTTTATACATTAATAGGTTGTTGAATTTAGCAAGAAGACAAGAAGTTGTAGCAATTATCAATATTTATGCAATTAATAGCAGACCATAACATATATATGAAACAAAAACTGGCAGAATTGAAAGGCGGAATAGACAGTTGGAATAATAGTTGGAAACTTCAATATCCTTCTCTCAATAGCAGACAGGATAACCAGACAGGAGATACATAAGGAAATAGAAGACTTCAAACACATAATAAATAAACTAATCTAACAGACATATTGAGAACACTCTATGCAAAAACAGCAAACAACCACTGTGGAAAACAGAAGGTGGTGAGTCTTCAAAAAATTAAAAATAGAATTACTTACATATTCCAACAATTCCACTTTTGGGTATATAACCAAGAAAATTGAAAGCAGGATCTCAACAAGATATTTGCACACCCATGTTTATAACAGTATTATTCACAATATAGGTTAAGCACCCCTAATCTGAAAAGCTGAAATCTGAAATGGTCCACAATCTGAAACTTTTTGAACACCGACATAATGATGAAGATGAAATTGTTAACACTGCCGAAAGAGTGCCCATAAATGGCATGAGAAAAATGTGCGATAAGCTTATTGAAGGACTAGAGCAGCATATGTTCATAACAGAACAGGAAATCGTGTCAGTTTACAAAACAAAAGAGACATTTCTAAGACAAAAAAATTTGTTTTTTTAAATTATACTTTAAGTTTTAGGGTACATGTGCACAACGTGCAGGTGAGTTACATATGTATACATGTGCCATGTTGATGTGCTGCACCCATCAACTCGTCATTTAACATTAGGTATATCTCCTAATGCTATCCCTCCCCCCTCCCCCTGCCCCACAACAGGCCCCAGTGTGTGATGTTCCTTCCTGTGTCCAAGTGTTCTCACTGTTCAATTCCCACCTATGAGTGAGAACATGCGGTGTTTGGTTTTTTGTCCTTGTGATAGTTTGCTGAGAATGATGGTTTCCAGCTTCTTCCATGTCCCTACAAAAGACATGAACTCATCATTTCTTATGGCTGCATAGTATTCCATGGTGTATATGTGCCACATTTCCTTAATCCAGTCTATCATTGTTGGACATTTGGGTTGGTTCCAAGTCTTTGCTATTGTGAATAGTGCCACAATAAATATACGTGTGCATATGTCTTTATAGCAGCATGATTTACACTCCTTTGGGTATATACAATGGGATTTGTATATACCCAAAATACCTTTGGGTATATACAATGGGATTGCTGGGTAAAATTGTATTTCTAGTTCTAGATCCCTAAGGAATCGCCACACTGACTTCCACAATGGTTGAACTAGTTTACAGTCCCACCAACAGTGTGAAAGTGTTCCTATTTCTCCACATCCTCTCCAGCACCTGTTGTTTCCTGACATTTTAATGATCTCCATTCTAACTGGTGTGAGATGGTATCTCATTGTGGCTTTGATTTGCATTTCTCTGACAGCCAGTAATGATGAGCATTTTTTCATGTGTCTTTAGGCTGCATAAATGTCTTCTTTTGAGAAGTGTCTGTTCATATCGTTCGCCCACTTTTTGATGGGGTTGTTTGTTTTTTTCTTGTAAATTTGTTGGAGTTCATTGTAGATTCTGGATATTAGCCCTTTGTCAGATGAGTAGATTGCAAAATTTTTCTCCCATTCTGTAGGTTGCCTGTTCACTCTGATGGTAGTTTCTTTTGCTGTGCAGAAGCTCTTGAGTTTAATTAGATCCCATTTGTCAATTTTGGCTTTTGTTGCCATTGCTTTTGGTGTTTTAAACATGAAGTCCTTGCCCATGCCTATGTCCTGAATGGTATTGCCTCGGTATTCTTCTAGGGTTTTTATGGTTTTGGGTCTAACATTTAAGTCTTTAATCCATCTTGAATTAATTTTTGTATAAAGTGTAAGGAAGGGATCCAGTTTCAGCTTTCTCCATATGGCTAGCCAGTTTTCCCAGCACCATTTATTAAATAGGGAATCATTTCCCCATTTCTTGTTTTTGTCAGGTTTGTCAAAGGTCAGATGGTTGTAGATATGCAGCATTATTTCTGAGGGCTCTGTTCTGTTTCATTGATCTATATCTCTGTTTTGGAACCAGTACCATGCTTTTTTGGTTACTGTAGCCTTGTAGTATAGTTTGAAGTCAGGTGGTGTGATGCCTCCAGCTTTGTTCTTTTGGCTTAGGATTGACTTGGCAATGCGGGCTCTTTTTTGGTTCCATATGAACTTTAAAGTAGTTTTTTCCAATTCTGTGAAAATCATTGGTAGCTTGATGGGGATGGCATTGAATCTATAAATTACCTTGGGCAGTATGGCCATTTTCATGATATTCATTCTTCCTACCCATGAGCATGGAATGTTCTTCCATTTGTTTGCATCCTCTTTTATTTCATTGAGCAGTGGTTTGTAGTTCTCCTTGAAGAGGTCCTTCACATCCCTTGCAAGTTGGATTCCTAGGTATTTTATTCTCTTTGAAGCAATTGTGAATGGAGTCCACTCATGATTTGGCTCTCTGTTTGTCTGTTGTTGGTGTATAAGAATGCTTGTGATTTTTGCACATTGATTTTGTATCCTGAGACTTTGCTGAATTTGCCTATCAGCTGAAGGAGATTTTGGGCTGAGACGATGGGGTTTTCTAGCTATACAATCATGTCATCTGCAAACAGGGACAATTTGACTTCTTCTTATCCTAATTGAATACCCTTTATTTCCTTCTCCTTCCTGATTTCTCTGGCCAGAACTTTCAACACTATGTTGAATAAGAGTGGTGAGAGACGGCATCCCTGTCTTTTGCCAGTTTTAAAAGTGAATGCTTCCCATTTTTGCCCATTCAGTATGATATTGGCTGTGGGTTTGTCATAGATAGCTCTTATTATTTTGAGATACATCCTATCAATACCTAATTTATTGAGAGATTTTAGCATGAAGGGTTGTTGAATTTTGTCAAAGGCCTTTTCTGCATCTATTGAGATAATGATATGTTTTTTGTTGTTGGTTCTGTTTATATGCTGGATTACATTTATTGATTTGCATATGTTGAACCAGCCTTGCATTCCAGGGATGAAGCCCACTTGATCATGGTGGATAAGCTTTTGATGTGCTGCTGGATTCAGTTTGCCAGTATTTTATTGAGGATTTTTGCATCAATGTTCATCAAGGATATTGGTCTAAAATTCTCTTTTTTTGTTGTGTCTCTGCCAGGCTTTTGTATCAGGATGATGCTGGCCTCATGAAATGAGTTAGGGAGGATTCCCTCCTTTTCTATTGATTGGAATAGTTTCAGAAGGCATGGCACCAGCTCCTCCTTGTACCTCTGGTAGAATTCGGCTGTGAATCCATCTGGTCCTGGACTTTTTTTGGTTGGTAAGCTATTAATTATTGCCTCAATTTCAGAGCCTGTTATTGGTCTATTCAGAGATTCAACTTCTTCCTGGTTTAGTCTTGGGAGAGTGTATGTGTCGAGGAATTTATCCATTTCTTCTAGATTTTCTAGTTTATTTGTGTAGAGTTGTTTATATTATTCTCTGATGGTAGTTTGTATTTCTGTGGGATCGGTGGTGATATCCCGTTTATCATTTTTTATTGCGCCTATTTGATTCTTCTCTCTTTTCTTCTTTATTAGTCTTGCTAGCGGTCTATCAATTTTGTTGATCTTTTCAAAAAAAATATTGTTAATGAGGCAGATGATTCTGGAGGATCTTGAAAAGTCATCCAACAAAATGCCTCCTCATCCCTACATGACCCAGTTCCTGGTTCCTCAACTGCTTCTTACATTTCTTCTCACCTAAAAAGTAAAAGAAGATGTAGTGTCAAGTAACCTTTTAATTAAAACACTGCATCACAGATGGAGACTGAAATCCTACTGTTGTTTGTTGTTGCTGTTGTTTATCAGCTCATACAGGCATCTGGTGATGCTACTTGCCACTTAGTTACTCTGAACCCATTTCTTTCACCATATTAATTGTGTGTCATATTTTGTACTGTTAAGTATTTATGTGCACATAAGTGTAGGAAGATAATTCTTTATCAGTAGCATATAAATTCAGAGTCAGGAATAACAGTGATGCCAAACCACCACAGATTATCCACGTAGGTGGCTGAGATAATGAAACATTTGCTTTCTGATGGTTTAATGTACACAAACTTAGTTTCATACATAAAATCATTTAAAACATTGTTTAAATTATATTCAGGTTACATGTGTAAGGTATGTATAAAACATGAGTAAGTTTTGGTTTTAGCCTTGGTTTCCACGTCCAAGATACCTCATTATGCATATGCAAATCTTCCAAAATGTGGAAAGGAAAATTTGAAATACTTCTGGTCCCAAGTATTTTGGGTATGGGATACTCAACCTATAGCTAAAATGTGAGAGCAACCCAAATGTTCATAAATGGATGTATGGATAAACAAAATGTGGTGTATGTACATAACACACACACGTGCGTGTGCACATACACACACACATACACACACACTCTCAACGGGATATTATGCAGCCTTAAAAATGAAAGAAATTCTGACATATGCTACAACAAGGATGAATCACAGGACATAATTAGTGAAATAGGTCAACCAAAAAGACACAATATTGTAACACTTATATGAGTTATTTAAATTAGTTTGATATTGTGATATAATAAGAAATATATATTTTGGTTTCTGCTCCCATTTTCCAAAGCTTTCATAAAACCAAAAAGGATATGTTCAGAGAGCTTCCTAGTTTCTGAATATGTGGAGGATGGCAGTCCAGAGAAAGCATGGAAGCTCTGTGCCCCGTTCTTCATACCTTGCCCTATGCATCTTTGCCATCTGGCTGTTTCTGAGTTGTGTTCTCTTATAACAAGTGGGCAATAATAAGTAAGGCACCTTCCTGAATTTTGTGAGCCACTCTAGCAAATAGTAAAACTTAAAAAAAGGGGCTGTAGAATCCTCTGATTTATAGCTGGCCAGTAATAAGAACAAGTAACAATCTGGACTTGGGACAGGCACCTCAAGTGAGAATTGTGTGTGTTTGTGTGTGTGTGTGTGTGTGTGTGACTGAGCTTTTAACCTATAGGATTAGGTTGATAGTGTCAGAATTGCATCCAGTTGTAGGACATCCAGCTGGTGTAGGATAATTGGTTAGTGTTGGTTACCAAATCTTTTGGTAGAGAGAAGTATATTATACCAGAGTACAGAGATAAGTAGTTTTTTTTTAATATATTTAAGAAGTTAAACTTATAGAGACAAAAAGTAGAATGGTGGTTGCCAGGGTCTGGGAGAAGAGGTGAATGGAGAATTGCTGTTTAATAGAAGCAGAGTTTTAGTTTTACAAGATAAAAGGAGTTATGGAAATAATGCTTGTGATGGTCGTGTAACATTATGGATGTATTTAATACTATGAAGTGTACATTTAAAAATGGTGAAGATGGTATATTTTACTATGTGTATTTTGTCACAATAAAAATGTGGAAAAATAAATAAATAACAACAAAAACATAGTCAACATTTTACACTGAAACAGACATCAGCTTGTTTTTTCAAAAAATTTGAGATTTGGTGAAAAATACTTATTTTGGTAAAGACCCAAGATCATATATAAAAATTCTTTTGTTACAAATTAAATTTATATTTTCTGTTGGGTAATTAAGGAATATAAACTAAAAGTCTTATAACTTATAAACACTTTATAATAGTAATTCTACTGCTTGGTACAAATCCTAGGGAAATAATTAGAAACAAGATATATGGTGCTTGCTTACTGATATATCATTTAAAATCGCTTTATTTCAAAAATAGTTCAATAAAAATAAAGAGAATGGTTATACAAACTTTACTGCAGAGTTGCCATTACATTTAATGGCAAAAACTGAAATTACTTTTGCACAAACCTAATACTATAATATAATTTAAAAAATACTCTTAAAGAAGAGACATGTTATTAAATAATACTAAATAACAAATAAGAAAAATGTGTATCAAGCATAATTATCTCCTTTAAAACACTGAGAAATATGCACACATGTGTATTGGTATGTAGGGTGTAGGATTACATGAATGTTTCATAGTATTTCTGAGTATTGTGGTTATATGAGTAGATTTTACTTTTTTTTATTGTTTTGGTATGTGATAGACTTCCTTCAAATTACAAAAATAACAATTTTAAAATTGCTCTATTATTGCAAAAGATTCATGTTTGTTTTCTAAACGTTCTCTTAAATACCAATAAATATTTATTTTAGATATGATTTGAGATTTTTAATTGCAGTTAAGTCAGAAATACTTCAGGATTATTACTATGAAACATTATAAACTAGAATGAAAGGTCTAGAATTGCTATACGATAATCACATTTTATGTCTAATTTCACATTTTTTGACCACTTTTATATGCATAAAAATGTTTAATCTCTTCACAATTTTAATAATTATATTTATCATTCATTTAGGACTTAGTGTATACTAGCCCTCATTGCAAATGATTTACACATTTTAACTTATTCAAATATTTTGAAAATCTAAGGAGACAGGTTCAGAACCTGCGTGGTAAAGTAGGGTACTCATCTTGGTGGCAATGGAACAAGTCACCAAAAGATCAGTCAGCAAGATGAATATTTTAATGCAACATTTAAAACATAACGTAGGAAAATCCAAGATAAACAAAATGTCAACATTTTAAAGAAAGGAAGGATCAGTAGTACTGATTTTTCCTTTTGCTTCAGATTTCATTATAGCTTGGCATGGCACTATCAACAAATATGTATTTAATTTACTATCTTCATTTTACATTTAAAGAGACAGAAATACTAAAGAATTGCATGACTTGCCATGATCACACATTAGTGTTGTACTGAGGACAGTGATATCAGGCAGCCTGGCACCAGAGTCCTTACACTTAATCCCTACACTAGAAATGAAATCATTTTAACGGTTTACTTTTAATAAGCTACGTTTTACCTCAACCCTGGTATTTCCCCTGTAGACTGTGGTAATGATAATATTTGTATTCTTTTTTTTCTCTGCCCATGACATTATTACCTTCCTTGTAGTGTAAGGTGGTATGTATTACTGTTTAAGAGTATTAAACACAGACATAGCATTAAATTTTAAAGACTCTTCATGCACCTGTTCTCCTGGTTAGCAAGATAATTCTGGTCAATAAGATGGTGAAGGAGAGGTTGATCATTCTCTTATAGAAAAGAGATACAGAACTTACTCTGGGGAAATACAGCAATATAAAAAATAATGTGTTTAAAACATAATAACACTGGAAGGAGATCATGTTCTTTGCAGCAACATGAATGGAGCTGGAGGTTATTATCCTAAATAAACTAATGCAGGAACATAAAATCGAATACCACATGTTCTCATTTATAAGTGGAAGCTAAACATTGAGTATACATGAACACAAGGAAGGGGATAATAGACACTGAGGCCTTACCTAAAGGTGGAGGGTTGAAGGAGGATGAAGGTTAAAAAACTATAACACTTACTGAGTACTCTGCTTATTACCTCGTCTCTACTAAAAATAAAAAAAAAAGCCAGGTGTTGTGGTGCACGCCTGTAATCCCAGCTACTATTACCTGGCTGACAAAATAACCTGTACACCAAACCCTTACAACACACTATTAACCTACATAACAAACCTGAACATGCACCCTTGAACCTGAAACAAAAGTTAAAACAAAAACTATTTTATTTATATAAAATATTTGAGCACAGAGGAAATCTATAGTTACAAATTATCTCATTATGTAACTAAAAACAACTTCATAGTATGAATTTGTACTTGTTAATTGTATCTGAAATAATATATGAAAAGTAATAGTAAAACTTCATTTGACCATTACATGTGTTTAGCAAAAATATAAATCTTATATTTATTTTTATGTATTTGAAATACAAAATAAATAGTAAGTTTACTATATGTTTAAAATGCATAGAGGGAAGTATAGTGTTTAAAACTAATTATGATAATTAGATTTTCGTATATTAATTTGCCTTGTTAGTTAATTTTTATGCCTAACCACATCCTTTCTACTAAGTACATGTATTTGAGGGCTAATCTTATTTTAGTTGATCAACCTAAAACATTCTCAAATGCCCCATCAGTATTGCATTATATTTAAGAAGAGAACCAAAATAAATCATGTTATTTATTGTGTGAGACTCAACAATCCCAATGTTTCTTGTTTCTGTTTCAATTTATGAAAAGACCTGAATACCATACTGTAGAGTGTTAGACAAAAAAAATTAGTGAGTGATACTTGTTAAAGCACTGTAAGGCGAACTTTATCAGGATCATTGTGATAGGTCTGTAAGGAGGAGAAGATTGAGCTTAACTCCTAATACAGCATGGACAAATGGGAATTTATAGACAAGAAAGAGTAGAGAAGAGGGTGTCAGTAGACGGAAAATCACTAAGAGAAAAAAATCAAGGGTAAAGGAATGTGTAAGTCTGTTTTGTGTTGCTATGAAGGAATATCTGAGACTTGATACTTTATTTTAAAAAATAAGTTTATTTGGCTCATGATTCTACAGGCTATACCACCATAATACCAGCATCTCCTTGGCTTAAGCTGAAGCCTCAGAAAGCCTTTACTCATGGCAGAAGGCAAAGGGGGAGCAGGCATCTCGCATGATGAGAAAAGGAGCAAGAGAGAAGAGAGGTGCCAGGCTTTTTTAAATAACCGGCTCTCCTGTGAACTAATAGAGTGAAAACTCACACATCACCAAGGAGATGGCACCAAGCCAATCTTGAGGGATCCCCCCCTATGACCAAAAACCTCCCACCAGACCCCACCTCCAACACTGGGGATCACATTTCAACATGAGATTTGGAGGGGACAACTATCTAAACCATATCAGGAAGATTCTGGCTAAACAGACCTAACAGGATTCTTTCTGAAGATAGACCAGAGTGATCACATATCACTTGGAGGATGGTGGAGGATGAAAAACCCAGTTAGATATCTAAGATAATCAGACGTCAAGAATGGAGAGTTCTTGGTAAACTGATTTAGCAAGGTTCCTGGCCAAAACTGGATTTTACAAGAAAGTGCATAGGTAGGCCTAGGAGAAGGTTGAGAAGCTCACTCAACTTTTGCTGAGAGGATAAACTTTGTCAACAATCATCAAAAATTTGAAACTCCTTAATCTATTTTTTCACTCCAAAGAGGGTTTTTCCTATAATTTCACAGTTCACTCTATAGATGTTTTAATTTTCTTGGTGTCTAAATTATTTTTGTGTATTAGTCTGAAGTGTTCATCAGAAATAGTTTCATTTATTGATGTTCTTGATGTAAAAACAAAGAAATAGCTGAAACCATAGATTCAATTAATAGTCCTATAATATGATGAATGGAAGTGAAATTTTATCAGAGTTATACTTACTTTATTATACTGGAGATAAAAGGGGTTCCCAAGGCACATATGTTTACAAAGTGAATAGTTCAAAAAATACCTTAGAGATTTAGCATACTTTATGAGGATAAAGGAAATTTTCATCTGGGATCAGTGTTCAGGTCACTGTTAGCTACATTTTATTAAAAACGTTATATTAGTGTTGTGGGAAAGAAGTGTTCAGAATGCTGTAAAAATGGGCAATGATCATAAAGTCAGTGACATCACAGAAATTCATGGGTTCTTATTTGGGCTATACAACAGCTTAAAAAATAACATTTGATAAATGCCCAGAATACATTAAACTTTTAATACATAGTAATATAACTGGAAGGAAGTGGCAAACAATTCATAACCGGAAGTGACAGTGTAGAAGTCAAAATCTCATTATATTAGAATGCATCTAATTAGATGTAAGACTTAAAATGTAAGATTTAGGTAAAAGAAAGAAAGCACTTTCTAACCGAGAGGTACTTTGTTTTTGCACAGATTAAATGCCAAATATCTGACTCAATTGTGACTTGACCCTTCTTGAATTATTCTTTAGTAAATAAAAATTTGGAACTTATATGAATATTCTTATTTTTAATTTGAAGACAATGCAGACATTATACAAAAATTGCTTTGTCTACACCTGAAAAAGTCATGCTGAAATTTTTTGCTTCCACTGTTCAATCTTATGTAAAATTAACACTCCACTATATATTTTTTTGTATTTTATAGTTACAAATGTATATGTACATCTGTGAGTTTATGATAGTTTCAATGTAGTGGAGGCCAGTCCTGCTACCAAATGTCTACCTTATTATTAGACACTAATAATTAACTTGGAAAGAGTAAAAGGACCCATAGGTTTTTGTTTTTTAAAAAAAAACTTTTCCAGAGTCTGCTATTCTCCACCAGTAATATAACTATCTCATCAAGCAAGAAAGTACAGAATGCCTACTGTATGCTAAGTATTACGCCACATAGTAAAAGAACACATATTTATGCAACTTTTTTAGGTCACAAGAGTACCATTTAGTAAAGTGATCTGAAGAAAACAATAAGCAAATACATGATTTCCTTGAGCACTGAATTACTTTGAGTCCAGACTCAAAGATTAAATATATGACACAGTCCAAGTGATTTTTAGTACTGTACAGTTAAAGAATTTCACTATACACCAGTCAGAAATACTTCTTTTTATTATCTAGTGATGATTTCCCTAATGCTTCATGAAGAATTAGTCTTTAATAAATAGATATAGTCAGCTGAGGTGATATGTTTTTATGACTTCTGGAAAGACATGTTCTTAAAAAGCCCAATCGCTTGTTTTGTATTAAAATAATATGAAATTGGGACATAGTCTTTAATTCAATAAATTGTGATGTGGATAAAATTGTAAATATCTTTGGAAAACAAGAACAAAATGACACAAGGTGTAATTTTAAATATAATTGTAAATAGAATAAGGCCAGATAGTAAAGCCATGTAATTGCCCAATAAATATAGATTTTTTATGCAGTAATCCATTTTGAAAAATAAAATGTATCTTAAATTATATTATTTTATTATTGTTCAAGAATGCTCAAGATTTTGTGTAATATAAAATAACAAGTTCTAGGCTTTCTGAAGAGTAAGTCTTCTTTCCTGACTTGACAAGTCTAATCAATGAGCTCTTTATCCAAGGACCAATATTATACTTTATGAGAGAATTAATAATTTATGCTAATCAAAGGAAATATGGGCATATATATATATATATATATATATATATATATATATATATGTTCAGTTTATGTACTATCTTCAGGGAGTGTACTAATAAGTTCTCAAGCTGCCATGAAGACATACCTGAGACTGGGTAATTCATGAAGGAAAGAGGTTTAATTCACTCACACCTCTGCAGCACTGGAGAGGCCACAGGAAACTTACTATCATGGGGGAAGGGAAAGCAAAAATGTCCTTCTTCACATGGTGGCAGGAAGGAGAAGAATGAGAGAAGTGCAGAGTGAAGGGGGGAAAGCCCCTCACAAAACCATCAGATCTTGTGAGAACTCATTCACTATCACAAGGACAACACGGGGGAACCACCCCCATGATTCAACTCCCCCCCATGAGATCTCTCCCTCAACACTTGGAGATTACAATTAGGATCATAATTCAAGATGAGATTCTGGAGGGCAAACAGAGCCAGACTGTATCATTCCAACCCTGACTCTTCCCACATCTCATGTCCTCATATTTCAAAACACAATCATGCCTTTCCAACAGTCTCCCAAACTGAACTCATTTCATCAGTAACTCAAAAGTCCAAGTTCAAAGTCATATCCATATCCAAGACAAGACAAGACCCTTCTGCCTATGAGCCTGTAAAATCAAAAGCAGCAAGTTAATTACTTCCTACATACAGTGAGGCTACATGCATTTGGTAAATACACCCGTTACAAATGGGAGAAATTGGCCAAAACAAAGGGCCTATAGATCCCATGCAAGTTTGAAATCCCATTTGGCAGCCACTAATCCTTAAGGTTCCAAAATGATCTCCTTTAATTCCGTGTCTCACACCCAGACCACACTGATGCAAGAGTTAAGCTCTCACATATTTGGGCAGCTCTGCCCCTGTGACATTGCAGGGTACAGCCCCTGCCCCAGCTGCTTTCAGGGCTGGTGTGGAATGTCTGGGTCTTTTCCAGGTGTATGGAGCAAGCTGTCAGTGGATCTACCATTCTGGGGTCTGGAGGATGGTGGGCCTCTTCTCACAGCTTCACTAGGCAGTGCCCCAGTGTAGACTACGTGTGAGTGCTCTGACGCCATATTTCCCCTCCACCCTGCCCTAGCAGAGGTTCTTCATTGAGATTCCCTGCCTGCAGCAGACTTCTGCCTGGATATCCAGACATTTTCATACATACCCTGAAATCTAGGTGGAGGTTCCCAAACCTCCATTCTTGTTTTCTATGCACCTGCAGGGCCAACACCACGTGGAAGCTGCCATGGCTGGGGGCTTTCACCCTTGAAAGTAATGACCTGAGCTGTACCTTGCCCCTTTTTAGCTATGGCTAGAGTGGCTGAGATACATTCCCTAGGCAGAAAACAGCAGAGAGGCCCTGGACCCAGCCCAGGAAATCATTTTTTTTCCTCCTAGGCCTCCAGGTCTCTGATCGGAGAAACTGCTGTGAAGGTCTCTGACATGCCCTGGAGATATTTTTCCCATTGTCTTGGTGATTAACATTCTGTTCCTTGTTACTTATGCAAATTTCTGCAGCTGCCTTGAATTTATTCCTAGATAATGTGTTTTCTTTTTCTATTGCATTTTTTCAGGCTGCAAATTTTCTAAACTTTTATGCTCTGCTTTCTCTTGAACACTTTGCCAGGTAGAAATTCCTTCAGTCGAATACCCCAAATCATTTCTCTCAAGTTCAAAATTGCACAGATCTCTAGGGCAGGGGTAATAGATGCCAGTGTCTTCACTAAAGCACAGCAAGAGTCCCTTTATTCCAGTTCCCAACAAGCTCCTCATCTCTATCTGAGACCACGTCAACCTGGACTTCATTGTTCATATCACTATTAGCATTTTGGTTAAAGCCATTCAAGTCTCCAGCAAGTTCCAAACTTTCCCACATTTTCCTGTCTTCTTCTGATCCCTCCAAACTGTTCCAACCTCTTCCTGTTACCCAGTTCCAAAGTCGTTTCCACATTTTTGGATATCCTTATAGCAGCACCTCACTCTACTGGTACCAATTTACTGTATTAGTCCATTCCCATGCTGCTATGAAGAAATACCCAGGACTAGCTAATTAATAAAGGAAGGAAGTTTAATTGACTCATATTTCCACAGGGCTGGGGAGGGCTCAGTAAACTTACCACATGCCTTCTTCCCATGGCAGCAGGAAGGAGAAGAATGAGAGAAGTGTAGAGTGAAGGGGGAAAAGCCCATCACGAAACAATTTATATCTTGTGAAAACTCATTCAGTATCATCAGAACGGCATGAGGGAACCACTCCCATGACTCAATCACCTCCCATGAGGTTGCTTTTCCAACACATGTGGGTTACAATTCAGATTACAGTTTAAAATGAGATTTGGGATGGGACACAGAGTGAGACTATATCAGGGAGCGTATATAAAGTCACTTAGGTCACGTAATTTCTGCATTTATTTTGCATGTTGACATGACAATCAGCTGGTTTCACAAGAGTTGGAAATTATTTGTAAGCACGCTTCATGAGTTTAGCACTTTGCAAGCCATTTTCAGTAAATCAACATGGTGTTTAACTTTTTCTGTCTTACAGTTGACAAACACTGACAGTGAAGCTCCATGAGTGTAAACTGTTTATAAATTGATAAGCTTGTATTGAATAGGACCAGATAACCAATCAGATTTGAAGCAATTTTCAGATGATTCTGAATAAAACTTGGAGTTAATAATGTTTATTTTGGGAATAGAAGTATACTTGATTTTTGTTTATTTTTTGGTCACCTATTGTGTATGAAAATTGATATTTTAGGGACAATTATTACATAAAGTATTTGTAAATTTTTTAACATTTTTATTTCCTATTACCTTTGCTTCTACTTTGTTTATTCTTGTGGGTTTTGTGCATTTTTATTCTTTAATATATTATTAGTTGATTAAAGATATAAGTGGCTATAAACAATTCTATTCCACATAGTAAACATATTTTTCTATAGTTCATTGGATTCTATAGAAGAAGTAGGGATAGATAGATAGATTCTATAGAGAATAATCCTTCATAAAGGCTGCTTATGAATACTTCATAAACTATGCTTTATGAATCATTAAGGAAGCATAGCAAAGACAAATGCATTCCACATACTACATGATATCTAAAAATATTTATCTGGATTATTTTGTTTTTGCAATATGGTCTTTCTTTTTGGTCTTTGAATAGAATGGCATTGTGAAAATTTCTTGCTCTTTAAGGGTGAAATCAAATGTTTACAGCAGCTTACAAGACCCCAAATGATCTGGACCTTTTTATCTTTGTAAATTCACCAACTGCTTTCATACTCACTCAATCCTCTCCAGCCATACATACTTCTTTGCTTTCTTCTAACATGCCAGTCAATATTCCACCTTAAAGCCTTTGCTCTACCTTTGTCTTCCCACCAAGATTGATCTTCCAAGGCCTAGTACTTCATTTGCTCGAGTAATGTCTTCTTAATGAAGGCTACGTTAACTACCCTATTTAATATTATAAGAGGCAGCATACCTCCCGAAAGTTCTCGTCTGCTTTTCAAAATTTTAGACAAATTTCTTTCTGATTAGAGGCCCTCCTTTTTCTTAGGGTTTTTACTTTATATTACTTGCAATTGAAATTTATTTCTCTTTGTTTTAAGATATAAATCTCCCATTCTCCTACTACCCCAAAATGTTTTAAAACCACCAAATGCCTTCCTCAAAGACCTGGGAGCCATCTCTTTGAAATGTAACACAATTCATTTACAAAATGAATTTGTAATTCACTGAAAAAATATGGACCCAATGTAAATACCCATCAACCAATGAGTGGATAAAAAAATGTGATATATATACACCATGGAATGCTACTCAGTCATAAAAATGAATGAATGAAATAATGGCATTTGCAGCAACGTGGATGGAGTAGGAGACCATTACTCTAAGTGAAGTAACTCAGACATGGAAAACCAAATATTGTACGTTCTCATATGTAAGTGGGAGCTAAGCTATAAGGATGCAAAGACATAAGAATAATACAATAGCCTTCGAGGACTCAGAAGGTAGGATGGGAGGAGGGTGAGGGATAAGAGACTACACAGTGGGTACAGTGTACACTGCTCAGGTAATGAGTGCACCAAGATCTCAGAAATCATCACTAAATAACTTGTAACTAAAACCTCCTGTTTTCTGAACACTATTGATATGAAAAAAAATAGTAAAATAAATTGATTATTTTTTAGAAATTGCAAAAAAGTAATGATTAGGAAAGATAGCAGCCCTATAACCCAGTTTCTGTGGGAAGGTAGGAACCTAATTTCAGTAAGCACCAACTAGCAAACAGATTGCCAAATCACATTGACCCATCTCCCACCTAACACCTTCTACTAGTTTTCATAACCCAATACTGAAAAACTCTCACACTTACTGTTTCAAACAGAGTTGAGCTCAATCTCTTTTTTCTACTGCAATAGTCTTGAATTAAGTATTTCTACCCATTTAAATCCATCTGGTACAATTTATCTTTGACAACACCACAAACTTCCCATCCAGTTTTCCTCTTCTATATTTTGCCTCTTTCACATGATTTAGAATCTTCTTATATATTGTGTAATTTATTTATTTCTAATATTTATTGTTTACTGCTTGTCTATCCTCTACTAAAATGCAAGATTTACAAAGATAGCAATATTTAGCTGCTTTTTGTTTTTTCCCCACTGATGTATCTCAAGTGTTAAAAGAGTATCTGGAGGAGAGTTAGAATATTTATTGTAGTTCAACTATTCTTATTGGTTTGAAATTTAGATTTTGAGACACATTTTAGTTTCAATAAAGCTGGCTTTATCTCTTATCTTTCCATGATATTATTGTTTTCATTTGATTTCAGAGAATAAAGTTGATAAGAAATATTTTTATATGTTAAGGATGTCTTATTTGAAATAATTGGGACCAGAATTGTTTCAGATTTTGTATTCTTTCAAATTTTGGAATATTTGCATTTACTTACTGTTTGAGCATCCCAAATCCAAAAGCCTGAAATCTGAATTGCCGCAATGATCATTTCCTTTAAGAATCATGTCAGTACTCAGAAAGTTTTAGATTTGAGAACATTTTGGATTTTGAATTTTTGGATTTGGGATGCTTAAAATTCAATATATAATTATTGCAAAAGCTGCTATTGAATTTTTAACTGATTAAATTTAAAAATTAAAACATATTTGAGGAATATTCATTAAACTTACTTCTTATTTATTCATTAAGCAAGTTTGTTACTTAATCTTTGTAACAGTATTTGTTCTAAATAAATATAAATTTTGTCATTATTTCTTTAAAGTTTCCATAAGATGTGAATAGGACTTAGAGTGCTATTTATTTCTCCTTTGACTGAATCTATACAACTGAATATTCAAGATAATCAAGAGTTTTTCAAATGTTTTCAGTGTGGTAGCTTTTTATTCCTACTCCATATCCCTCATCAATAAAACAATAGTCAGGCCAACAGTGTCCAAGAAATCCCAGTAGCAAGATAATGCAAAGACTATAAAATTCAGATAAGATGTTATCTCCAAAATACAGCTTCCCTCCAGCCACAGGAATAATTACGCTTTACTTCTGTATAAAAGTCTTTTATTCTCATTAGTGATACACACACAGAATGTTCCAGTCTTTTCAGTGTTAAAATCTGTTATCAACTGAGGAAATACCTTATTCAAAATTAAATATTATTTGGAGCTACTAAACTAATATAATCAGGGACATGCTTTTGTATACATTGCATTCTGGGATTCACATCTTTCTAGAGAGAAAACATCAGGTTTTCCATGATGCACCTGATATTTTCCTTCCCAGACACTAATGTAAGAATGATAGACTTCTGTTTATGAATCTATGTTGCCACATGTTACCTCAAAAATGTTTAAAAGTTTAGTTAAAAGATTGTGAAGCAATACTTTGTTTCAGGGGCTACATGGCCCTCAATACCTATATATGCATACATATTATATAGGCCATATTGCCCTTGAAACAAAGTATTTATTCTCAATCTTATTCTCTATAATTTTTCAAGACCCAATTGCAAATACACCTTTTTTTTTTTTTTTTTTTTTTTTGTAACCTAGCTTCTCAGTATACCTTGAACATGGCATCCTGTACTGCTCTATACCCCTTTGAAAGCCTGTCACCTCTGCCTGGTAATACCTGCGACTCCTTAAAGATATTACTAAAATATCAATTTATCTTCTCCTACTCACTGTTAGTCCTGTATCTTTTTTCCAAATTTCTCTGAGAATACTGCTTCTACTAATTGTTAAATTTCATTTTAATTATACATGCAGGTTTTCAAGTCAAACTTTTGGGTGTAGGTAATATGCATTATTTTTAAACTCTCTCTTAAAGCAAAAAATTATATTTCTAGAATCTAAAATTTGTGTCTTGCCCAAAAAAAAGTTTAAAAATTATTTCTTGGATTAAAAAAATGAATAAAGTTAATTATATCTGTTCATTTTTTATTTGGCTCATAGTAAGTCATTTAGAGTATATAACATTATAAATTACTGATAAGACATTTCTATAAATGCAGTACAAGCTTATATTGTAGACACTTGAGTAGTATTGATTAGTACTTAATAGTACTTAAGGAGTATTAAGGAGTATTAAGCCTAAAAAATGTATATACATTAATGAGAAGTACCTTATTACTAAAAATGCTAACAACTGTATTACTTCATTCTCACACTGCTAATAAAGGCCTACATGAGACTGGTAATTTATAAAGGAAAGAGGTTTAATTGACTCACAGTTCAGCATGGCTGGGGAGGCCTCAAGAAACTTACAATCATGGTGGAAGTGGAAGCAAACGTGTTTCTTCATATGGTGGCAGCAAGGAGAAGAGCAGAGTGAAGCAGGGAAAAGACTATTATAAAAACCATCAGGTCTTGTGAGAACTCCCTCACTATCATGAGAACAGTATGGAGGTAACTGCCCCCATGATTAATTACCTCACACTGAGTCTCTCTACAACAAGTGAGAATTATGGGGACTACAGTTCAAGATATAATTTGGGTGGGGACACAGCTAAACCATATCACTCTGCCTCTGACCCCCTACAAATCTCATGTCCTCACAATTCAAAACACAATCATGCCCTTCCAACAGTCCCTCAAAGTCTTAACTAATTCCAGCATTAACTCAAAACCCAAAGCCAAAGTATCATCTGAGACAAGGCAAGTTCCTTCCACTTTTGAGCCTGTAAAATCAAAAGCAAGTTATTTACTTCCTAGATACAGTGTGTGTACAGGCATTAGATAAATACACCTATTCCAAATAGGAGAAATTGACCAAAACAAAGGGTCTACAGGCCCCATGCAAGTCCGAAATCCAATAGGGCAGTCATTAAACCTTAAAATTCCAAAATGATCTCCATTGACTCCATGTCTCACATTTAGGTCATGCTCATGTTAGAGGTGGGCTCCCATCACCTTGGGCAGCTCCAACCCTGTGGCTTTACAGGGTACAGCCCCCCTCACTGCTACTTTCACTGTTGGTGTTGATTGTCTGAAGCTTTTTCAGGTGCACAGTGCAAGCTGTCAGCGGATCTACCATTCTGGGGTCTGGAGGATGATGGCCCTCTTCTCACAGCTCTACTAGGCAAAGCCCCAGTGGTGACTCTGCGTGGGGGCTCCAACCCCTCATTTTCCTTCTGCACTGCCTTATCAGAGGCTCTCCATGAGGGCTTCACCCCTGAAGCACACCTAGATTTCAGAGAATGTATGGACCTCCAAACATTTCCATACATCCTCTAAAATCTAAGCAGAGGTTCCCAAACCTCCATTCTCATCTTCTGAGCACCTGCAGGACCAACACCACGTGGATGTTGTCAGAGCTTGGGGCTTGCACCCTCTGAAGCCATGGCCTGAGCTGTACTTTGGCCCCTTTTAGCCATGGCTGGAGCATCTGGGACACAGAGCACCAAGTCCCTAGGCTTATGCTGCAGGGGAGCCCTAGATCAGGCTCAAGAAACCATTTTTTCCTCCTAGGCCTCTGGGTCTGTAATGTAGCAGGTGGGCAGGGAGGGGGGCAGCTGTGAAAGTCTCTAACATGCCCTGAAGACATTTTCCTCATTGTCCCAGTGATTCACATTTGGATACATGTTACTTATGCAAATTTGTGTGGCTGGCTTGAATTTCTCCTCAGAAAATTAGTTTTTCTTTGCTACCATGTCTTCAGGCTGCAAATATTTCAGACTATTATACTCTGTCACTTCTTGAATGCTTTGCTGCTTATAAATTTCTTCTGCCAGATACCCTAAACCATCTCACCCAAGTTCAAAGTTCCACAGATCTTTGGCATGGGCATGGGCATGGGCAAAATGCTGCCAGTCCCTTTGCTAAAGTATAACAAGAGTCACCTTTGCTCCATTTCCTGACAGGTTACTTATCTCCACCTGAAACCACCTCCACATTTTACCAAAATCAGCATTTTGGTCAAAGCCATTCCAAACTTTCCAAACTTTGGAATTTGGACATTCCAAACTTTCCCACATCTTCCTATCTTCTAAACCTTCTATGTCTCTAGGAAATTCCAACTTTTCTATATTTTTCTGTTTTCTTCTGAGCCCTCCAAACTGTTCCAACCTCTGCTTGTTACCCAGTTACAAATTTGCTTTCACATTTTTGGGTATCTTTACAGCAGCACCCCTTTCTCTGTGGTACCAATTTACTGTGTTAGTCCATTCTCACACAGCTAATAAAGACATACTCAAGATGGTATAATTTATCAAGGAAAGCTGTTTAACTGAGTCACAATTAAAATATGTGAGAGGGAGGCATGGCTGGGGAGGTCTCAGGGAACTTAGGATCATGGCTGAAGGGGAAGCAAACACATCCTTCTTTACATGGCAGCAGCAAGGAGAAATACAGAGTGAAGAGCAGGCCTTGGGGGGAAGCCCTTTATAAAACCATCAGATCTCATGAGAACTCACTCACTATCACAAGAAGACCATGGAGGTAACCGCTCCCATATTTCAATTACATCCCATTGAGTCCCTCTCATAGCACGTGGGGATTGTGGGAACTACAGTTTAAGATATGATTTGGTGCCCATCAGTGATAAACTGGATAAAAAAAATATGGCGTATATACACCATGGAATACTATGCAACCCTAAAAATGAATGAGTTCATGTCCTTTGAAGGGACATGGATGAAGCTGGAAACCATAATTTCCAGCAAACTAACACAGGAACAGAAAACCAAACACCACGTGTTCTCACTCATAAATGGGAGTTGAACAATGAGAACACATGGACACAGGGAGGGGAACATCACACACCAGGGCCTGTTGAGGGGTAAGGGGAAAGAGGAGGGAGAGCATTAGGACAAACGCCTAATGTGTGCAGGGCTTAAAACCTAGATAATGGGTTGATAGGTGTAGCAAACCACCATGGCACGTGTGTACCTATGTAATAATCCTGCACGTTCTGCACATGTATCCCAGAACTTAAAGTAAAATTTAAAAATATATATGATTTGGGAGGGGGCACAGCCAAACCATATCAACAACCATCCAAGCCTTCAGCGAATTGTAATATACTTTTGGTTGCAAGTTTTTCTTCAATTTTGATGACTGCTGATTCACCAGGGTGGTGATTGCTGAAAGTTGAAGTAGCTGTGGTAATTTCTAAAATAACACAACAGTAGAATTTGCTGCATTAATTGACTCTTCACTTTATGGAATATTTCTCTGAGCATGTGTTGGTATTTGACAATACGTTACCCATAGTAGAATATCTTCCAAAACTGGAGTCAGTCCTCTCATACCCTGCCACTTGTTTGATCAATTAAGTTTATGTAATATTTTAAATCTTTTGTTATCACTTCAGCAACGTTCACGACATCTTCAGTGGGAATAGATTCCATCACAAGAAGTCATTTTCTTTGCTCATACAGAAGAGGCAACTCCTCATCCATTAGTTTTGTCATAAAATAGCAGAAAATCAGTTACATATTCAGTCTCCACGTATGACTCCAGTTATCCTGCTATTTCCACCACATCTGCGGTTTTCCTCCTTAGAAGCCTTGAACCCCACAATACTTTCCATAAGAGTTGAAATTAACTTCTTTCAAATTGCTGTCAATGGTGATATTTTGACCTCCTCCCATTAATCATGGATATCCTTAACAGAATCTAGAACGGTGAATCCTTTCCAGAGGTTTTCAATTTACTTTTACCACCAGAGGAATAATTGTCTATGGCAGCTATAGCCCAATAAAATGTATTTCTTAAATAATACAATTTGGAAATCAATATTATTCCTTGATTTGTGGATTGCAAAACAGGTGTTGTCTTAGCAGGCATGAAAATAACATTATTCTCCTTGTATATTTCTGTCTACTAAGTGCCCAGGAGCATTTTCAATGAGAAGTAATATTTTGAATGGAATCTTTTTTTACTAAGCAGTAGTTCTCAACAGTGGGCTTAAACTACTCAGTAAACCATACTGTAAACAGATGTGCTGTCATCCAGGCTTTATTGTTCCATTTATAGAGCACAGGCAGAATCGATTTAGAATAATTCTTAAGAAGCTTGCAATCCTTAAAACGGGCAAATGAATATTGGCTTCAACTTCAAGTTACCAGTTGCATTAGCTCCTACGAAGAGAGTCAGTCTGTTCTTTGAAGCTTTGAAGCCAGGCATTGATTTCTCTGTTCTAGTTATGAAAGTCCTAGATGGCATCTACTTTCAATAGAAGGCTGCTTCATGAACTACACTGAAAATTTTTAGTTTGGTGTAGTCACTTTCATCAACTATTTTAGTAAAATATTCTGAGTAACTTGCTGCAATGTTTTCTGCTTCACCTTGTACTTTTATGTTATGGAGATGGCTTCTTTTTTTGAAATTCATGAACCAACCTCTGTTAGCTTCCAACTTCTCTTCTGCAGCTTTCTCATCTCTCAGATTTCATAGAATTGAAGAGAGTTGGTGCTGGGCTCATGATTAGGCTTTGGCTGAAGAGGATGTTGCATCTTGTTTGATCTTCTATAAAGACAACGAAAAGTTTCTTCATATCAGCCATAAGGTTGTTTCATTTTCTTTTCATTCATTGTTTACCAGAGCAACAGTTTTAATTTCCTTCAAGAAATTTTTCTTTGCATTCACAATGGGCTAACTGTCCAGCTCAAGAGAGCTAAGTTTTGGCCTGTCTCGAGTTTTGACATGGCTTTATCACTAAGCTTAATAATTTCTACCTTTTAATTTAAAGTGAGAGGCAGACCTGTGACTCTTCTTTTCACTTGAACACTTAGAGGCCATTGTGAGGTTATCAACTCTCCTAATTTCAGTATTGCTGTGTCTCAGGGAGTAGGAAGGCCTGAGGGCAGAAAGAGAGATTGGGAAATGGCCAGCCAGTTGAGCAGCCAGAAAATGCACATTTACTAAGTTTGCCACTTTATATGAACATAGTTTTTGGCACTACAAAAAAATCACAATAGCAGCATGAAAGATCACTTATAATAGATCACCAGAGCATATATAATAATAATGAAAAAGTTTGAAATATTGCAAGAATTACCAATACTTGAAACACAGAAACCAAGTGAACACATGCTGTTGGAAAGTGGTGCCAATAGGCTTCTCGAGGCATGGTTGCCACACATCTTCAATTTAAAAACAAAAACAAACAAACAAACAAAAAACCACAATATCAGTGAAGTACAGTAAAGTGAAACACAGATGCCTGTACATAAAGTTATATTTCCAACTAAGCTGTTGTTGTTACCCAGCATCAAAAACAAAGGTTAAAAATAATATTAATTTACCATAATCTCATTTTGTTTTTTGAGCATTTTTGGCTCTAAAATGGTTGTTACGCTATTTTTTAAATTATATCTGCTCTTGAATTGCTAAAAGACTTGAATATGCAAAGGCAAAAAATTCTTGATTAATTAACATTGCTCCTTTTTAGGAGCAATCAGTGCTTTTCCTTAAGGGAAAGCATCTAATGGACACTAATTATAAATTTTTTCAGTACTTTATATGGAATGTAAGCAACAGAGGCCGTCTATAAGGATCGTCACAAGCTTGACAACATGCTAAGGCTTGCTGACATAGAAACAATCTACAAATATATGGCATAAAAATGTTAAGAGCAATTAATCCTAACATGAGTCATATCTTATTATTTTTGGCTACTCATTAATTCATTTTTAAAACATTTATAAGGAAAAAACTACATCATTGTGATAATGGACTCTGAATAGCATTGCAAATAAAATACTTATTCCTTTACAAAACTTGGGGCAACTTATACTAAGAAATACCGACTTCTTCATTTAACATCCTATAATTTGCATTTGCTAAATGTGACTATAATTTTGGAGTCAGAAGGCTTGCTTCAAATCTTAGCTCTGTAGTTGATAGTCTATGTAAACTTGAGTATATTACTTAAATTCTGTACCTCAGAGCTCTCATTTATACATTTGGCTGGTAATAGTGTCTATCTCATTGGTAGATTGAACATACTGATATATGTACATGGTTAACTATGTACTAGACTATGAGCAATGTCTGACTCAGAGTAAGCATTATTCAAGTGTGAACAAATATATTTTTCAGTGTTTCTGTGATAATGCTGCATATCAAACACCCCAAAATTCAAATATTTATTTCTTGTTCACTGGCCTGTGAATAGCTTAAATATCCTGTAGAATGGGGCAGACATTCTCATATGAAGGGTATGTCAAGGAAAGAGTGAATATGTGATGGGAACGCTACATACAATAGTGACTTTTATTGTTGAGAACATACAATTTCTACTGGAAATTTAGCAGTGAAAAAAGCCAAGCTCTGTGTTTAGAAGTGCTTACATTTTGGTGTAGAGTAGATAAACAACAAGCAATAAATATATATCAGATAAGTGTTATTTACCATGGGAAAAGAATAAAAAATAAGAAAGCATGAATAGAGAATAATTTCAACTTGAAGGTTGTAGAGAAAGAAGAAAATATTAAGGAATAAGAAGAAGATATATCAGACAAGAAACAAATTAGAACAATAACAAGGTACACAGGAAATATTAAAATATATCTAAATTTATAAAACTTAATTAAAATTAATATTAGAGATCTAAGGGTATACTTTATATGTGAAGAAGAATCAAAGAAAAAGAAAGTCAAACTTAAATAGATCATCTAGAGTAAAAGGGAAAGGATGACAAGGTTAAATGAGAAAAACAATGATAAAAATGAGGAGAGAATATTTAAACCCCATTTTAAGACTTATAGCAACTTTAAGGAAGAAAAAGAATTATTGAAATGAAAGTAATAGTTTATTGTATATGCAAATTGAAAAATAAATTTCTGGCAATAAAATAATAGCTGTTTATGTCAGAGTAAATGTTTTCTTATTCTAAGCATCAGTGCTCTCTAGCTAAAGATCACCAGGAACACACATAAGTTGGTCGTATTGAGCCAATGCAATAAGAGAGAATGCACACCATGGAGAACTGTGGGGCCTTTTAGTAGGAGAATGTTAGGAGATTTGGGGAGGTTTTTAAAAAAATAGTGCTTTGCTTTGGATTGGATGCTACCAGAAAGTGATATTAATTCTATGATTAGATAGCCTGATAAATCTTATATGCAAAGTGTTAGCAACGAAGTGTGGGTAATTATGTGAGGAAAACTACAGTACCAGAATGACCTCTAATTGATGAAGAAGCAGTGGTTATTTATATCAGTCATGAAAAGTAGACATTTGATCATGTATGTGGTTTCTTTGCACATGAGCTCGGGCATAATTATGAAGTGGCCTTGTTTTTGTCTTGATTCATCATGATCAAAGACTGGTTTCTCCTGTTATTTGTATTTTGAGAAATGTTTATTTTCCATGGAACACAAAGTCTAGCTTTAAGTACTTAGCTATGAATGGAAGGTCAGCTCCTAGCAACAACAGGTCAGTTCCTAGCTGCCAAGGGCTGCATTTTAATACATCCATTCCCCCTTTCCTGACCAAAGGCAGATGAGGTCAGATGACAGGATGTTAATCTATGACATGATGGTCTACAACATTGCTAAAATGTTGCTGATCAGGAGACTATTCAGAAAATGTAACCTGTAGTTGAATTTATGTTAGTTTTTCCTGCTCCTTTTGTGGCAGAGTGAATTGATGAATGTTTTAAATTGACAGAAAATATGTAATAGTATTTGTATTCTGGGAAGAGTTTATCAGCCAACTTCAACACGAGTGATGATCGGAAACAGCAGTGTTGGCTCCAGGTAAGGAAATCCTGGTTGTTCCCTTTTTCTGTGTGTGCCTAATCTCTCCAAATAGGGTGACAGTTTGCCATACAACCTCAATTCTTGAATGGGTCCAAGAAAAATCATTGATTTTGAGTTTGTCCAACACTTTCTAGTGTCAACTTCCAGGTTCTTTACATTTTGTAGCTGAGATTTAATGTCCTTTTCACTATTAACATTTAAGCTTAGGTGTCTCCAAGCTTTTCAAAGGCACAAGGCAATCTTGGAACTATATCAGGAATGCAATGCTTGATTTAATTTTATCGATTTTGCAGAAAAACAATTTCAATAAATGGTGGTGACTTAATACAGATGAAAAGTATATGTAATTTGTCCCAAGCACATATTTTTATAATGTAATGATGATCTGCATTAATTTTTTATGAACAGCATAATTTCTGTAACTGTATTTCTCATATAAGTACTCCTTTAGTTCTCATTCTCTATAGCATCACATTTTTGTTGTTTTCAGTTTGTTGTTTCTGTTTTAAATCTCATTGTTTGCTTGTATTTTTTTTCTTAAATATATTTGAATCCTAACAGAACTTTAAAAGTTATAAACATTTGAAAGTTAATTCATATTTTTGGTCTGAAGGTGGGATTAAGATGGTACTTGAGAATGATGAAATCCCTAATGACAAGATCCCATGTTACTTGATCTAATATAAATTCCACAAAGAATAAACTAGAATTAGGAAATATTAATTTATTATTTCAGAGATTAATGCATATATCATTTTGTCTCTAAATATGTAGCTCACAAATAAACATCTAATTCAGTAGAAAATATTAGGAGGCCACTTCTTAGCATGGTCTCTTAAGTGCTGTCAAAAATATTATATGTATATGAATATATGTGAGAGGTGAAGCCGGCTGGGCTTTGGGGTCAGGTGCGGACTTGGAGAACTTTTCTGTCTAGCTAAAGGGTTGTAAATGCGCCAATCAGCAGTCTGTGTCTAGCTAAAAGTTTGTAAACACACCAATCAGCACTCTGTAAAAATGCACCAATCAGTGCTCTGTGTCTAGGAAAAGTTTGTAAACACACCAATCAGCACTCTGTAAAAATGGACTAATCAGCACTTGGTAAAATGGACCAATCAGCTCTCTGTAAAATGGACCAATCAGCAGGATGTGGGCGGGGCCAAATAAGGGAATAAAAGCTGGCCACCCGTGGAAGCTTTGCTCTTTTGCTCTCCACAATAAATCTTGCTGTTGCTCACTCTTTGGGTCCACGCCACCTTTATGAGCTGTAACACTCACTACGAAGGTCTGCAGCTTCACTCCTGAAGTTAGCAAGACCACGAACCCACCTGAAGGAAGAAACTCTGGACATGTCTGAACATCAGAAGGAACAAACTCTGGACACACCATCTTTAAGAATTGTAACAGTCACCACGAGGGTCCACAGCTTCATTCTTGAAGTCAGCAAGACCAAGAACCCGCCAATTTTGGACACATATGTATATACTTTTTTTTTCTCCAAACAATGACAAAGGGCACAAAAATTAATTTGATTATGTAGTAAAAGGGATTTAACATCTTAAATATGCTTCTATACAGTTTTAGCTATATTTAATCTAATTTTATTATTTACAATTTAAAGACAGAAGTATAAATTATCTCTTAGATCTCATTTTTTAATTGAAGAAAGTTAATAAAATGAACAAGCATATTAGCCATTTAAAATGCCATACTTTACCACAGTTAATTAAAATATAATCAACACATGTCAAAATGTCTTGGCTAGTTGTATAATCTAAAGAATTTTTCCCAGTGATTATATTCCTTAAATATGAAAATAAATAAACCTTTCTTTGACACACACAGTCATTTCAAATGTTTATCTTTAATCAACAACAGACTAGACATCTTTAGTGTTTGAAGAATGAAACACAGGATACATGATTTTGTCAAAACACAGGACTCATTCTGTCCAGAATTGGTTCCTTCCAATGGGTTCTTGGTCTCGCTGACTTCAACAATGAAGCTGCGGACCCTCACAGTGAGTGTTACATTTCTTAAAGATGGTGTGTCCGGAGTTTGTTCCTTCAGATGTTCAGATGTGTCCGGAGTTTCTTCCTTCATGTGGGTTCGTAGTCTCACTTGATTTCAGGAGTGAAGCTGCAGACCTTCGCAGTGAGTGTTACAGCTCTTAAAGGTGGCGCGTCTGGAGTTGTTTCTTCCTCCCAGTGGGTTCGTGGTCTCACTGACTTCAGGGGTGAAGCTGCAGACCTTCGCAGTGTTACAGTTCATAAAGGTAGTGTGGACACAAAGAGTGAGCAGCAGCAAGATTTATTGTGAAGAGCGAAACAACAAAGCTTCCACAGCGCGGAAGGGGACCTGAGCGGGTTGCCGCTGCTGGCTCGGGTGGCCAGCTTTTATTCCCTTATTTGGCCCTGCCCACATCCTGCTGATTGGTCCATTTTACAGAGGGCTGATTGATACGTTTATAAACCTTTGACTAGACACAGAGCACTGATTGGTGCATTTTTACAAAGTGCTGATTTGTGCATATACAAACCTTTAGCTAGACACAGAGTGCTGATTGGTGTGTTTACAATCCTTTAGCTAGACAGAAAAGTTCTCCAAGTCCCCACCTGACCCAGGAGCCCAGCCAGCTTCACCTCTCATCATGATTTTATTAAAAATGTATGGCAAACTGCAGTTTATTATGTCAGTCTGGTTTACACGGATGCAAGTACTGTAAGCTGTTGTATCTAGGCAATAAGCAAGTCACACTTATAAGTAAAAAGCTTCCAATTAATTAGTTTGATTGCCTTCTTTCTTAGGTAAACATGATAATATAAACACTAATTTATGATATGTATATACACTTTACTACAAAAAACTTTTTATGAGAAACTAGGTATTCTTATGTGTGGTACACACATTACATATCTGAACATACATGTACATACATGCTTCCCTCCACTTGTCATTCAAAGTCTTCAATTTTTGACGAGAGGTAGAAATCATTGATTTAGGGGCATGAAAAATGCTAAAAAGTAACATGACAGTAGCAAAATAAGAAAGGAGAGAAATTGGACTACAATTGCGGTACAACTAAATTATTTCTGAATATCATTTTCAACAATTATAGGAAAAACAGTAACTAAGTTAAATAAAGAGCCCACTTGTAATTACATCGGCATATTGTCCTAGACAATTGTGCTACTGATGGTTTGCTGTGTTGTTTAGAGTTCATTGTGTAAAGTGTATTCATCAGACATTCACTCAACAGTTACCTATCAAGTGCCAATTATGTACCAGGCTTTGTTTATGTGGTATACCTCCGTTAACAAAACTAAGTTACTTGACCTCTGGTTGCATATATTCTAGGGGGTAGAAACTTTACCAGAATGCTAGAGATTTTGGTCTAGGTCTTGCTACTTATGGCACAGAAAGCCAATCACTGAGACAATGATTACTGGCCAGGGAAGAAGGCTTTAATAAGTTGCTGCAGCCAAGAAGATGAGAGTTCAGTCTCAAATTCATCTCCCTGACCAACTACAATTAGGAGTTTATATAGCAGGGAAGAAATGTAACCAAGTATGAGAAAACAGCAATTAGGGAGGTGTAAGCAAGAGAAGTTGATCAACAGGAAGCAGGTGGTTGTTTGGGCAATCATAATATGTGATCAGTCTGGCATCTCATGGTCCAGGTGCAATGATCTAGGGCTTCAGCTCCTTGATACTATCTGGGTAGCCTGATAGTTGGTTTCCTGAGAAGGAAACTCAAATCAGACAATTGTAACTATCACAAGTTTTAAGACTGGTAGTATCAATTTCTTTGTTCACTCAAAGAAACCGTAAGCATCAGTTATATGGGAAAATTGGGCTTGTTTCAAAAACAGCCAATCAAAAATAGACTTAATGAGTAAATTATTTGTTAAAGGGGTACAATTATGTGCAAGAAACACATAGTATAAATATAAAGCACAAAAATCTGCTAAAGTGACCAGAAAGCCTGGAATGTACAGTGAGGCAGTTTGCAGTATTGTGAAGGTAAGCTATGAGCTAAGCCTTAAAGGAGTAAAATGTAGCCAACAGATATATGAAGGAAGAGCATTCCAGCAGAGGTAACAACCAAAGTGATTCCATAAAGCTGGAGTATGCCTGGCATGTTTGGGCAATCGTGGTGAGTTCCTTGTTGGTGGCATGGAGTGAGCATAGAGAATAATAGGTAACTCAGTAACAGCTGTTCTGATCTTGTTTCTCATACAAATCTTCTTAACTCCTTCTCAGTAGAGTTACAGCAGATACACTGTAGCCTGATTGTAGAAGTACCCTAGGACTACCACTTCTCCACATTAAATGTGTCATGTGGAAGCTTTGCTAAGACTCACTACAGTCAATTTTCTGTGGTGCTATTCACATTAAACAAACCCATCCTCATTATTAGGAATTTTTGGACAAACTTTAAAATCATCACTTCCTTGATACTTAAATTTAAGGTATGAAAATTGTATTTACTTACATAAAGGAATTTAAGTAAAGATCCTTCTCAATTTAAATAAAAACAGTGTTTCTCACTAAATGAGCTTTATTATGTATATGACCTTCACTAAATATGAGGCTTACGTTAACTTAAGTAATGCAGTGACATCCAAAGTTTTTTAAAGTGTTTTGAGTTCATGAAATTCCTGAGACCTTATTTTTCTCTAAGTGAGATGTCTTTGTTATATATTATTTAGATTAATCTTATCATTCTCTCATGCATATTTTTATATTCATTTTTTTCTTCCTAAATTGACTATATTTTAAAACCTCCAAGTACTATAGTTTATATTTATTTTGATCATTAGGATCTTAATAGTCTTCCTCTGTGAACCTGCTACATATAATGTATTTTTAAAAGTTTCAAAAATTAAACTCCATATGAAAACTACAATTATTGCGTTTTCCTCACTATTGTGCTTTTTCTTCTTATGTGAAATATCAGTTATAGATGCAAAAAAAGTAGGAAGAACATATTCTGAATTATATCTTTCAAACATCACCTTATGTTTTCTCAGCATCATTGGCTGTGTACTACTGGCAGCGGGAAATATTTTGGCAATGTTAAAGTATAATTTCATACTTGCTTTTAAATATGAGCCAAATGAGTGAACAGCTGGGAGCTCCTAGCCTTGGAGAAGGCTTTTCACAAGAGATCAAATTACTGGCATAGTCATAGCACAATCTTAGTTGCTCCTTGACTTTTGCTCTGTGGTATAGAAAAAAAGATAAGCAAACAAAATATTCTAAAAATAAAGAAAAATTACTGTTTTTCATAATTTCATAAAACAGTTTAATTTATCTATCACATTATATATCTCAAATCTACAAAGATAAAATAAAATAATATACCTAAAAATGCATGCATCTCATGCATGTATTCTCAGCCTAAGTATTTGATAATAGTTCATGTTTTATTAAGATTTACATTGGTTTAGTGTATTGAGAATAAGGTGAAGACATTTTATACTATTAGTAAAAGAAATTATTAGAAACCATCCACAATGCATTTATTTTCTGCCTACAACATATATCAGAATAGATTATTGAGGTTTCCCATGTAGATTATTGCTCTACCTCTATTTTTATTTCTGAATGCTTTTGATTTTCATATTTAGATATTCCATTATAAACACAAAATATTTATAATTGATTTCTCCATTTATTTTATTGTAACTATATTCATCTAGATTAGTTATAGTGTTTACTGATTGCTGCTTTAAACTTCTTTAATGTTGTTTCTATTGGTCATTTCTGCTTTGGTTATATTTATGAATTTTCATAGAACTTTAGAGAATTTTCTTAATGTGTAATTACATTTGTTGAAGACAGCTGAATGATTTTTGAAAGTGAAAATGTATAATACTTTCTTTCCTTGATTTTTACCTTCTCTACTGTGCTGCAATGTAACTTCCTGCACAAACAATCCTCCCACCTCCAACTTCCACTTGATATGATAGGGCTATGTAATTTGGATATCCCCTAAATTTGAATTCATTGTAGAGAAATAAGAAGAGGTTGTATGAATGACATCAAGCATTTAGTGGCAACGTATATGGAAACAAAATGGGTGGAAAATTTCAGAGAAAAATACTGGATATCTCACGAGACCTAGGATAAAATTTGTGATGACCATGTGTAAATCTTCAAGAAAAACAGTAATCTATATTACTAACTTTATTTCTTATTTATCTACCAATTTGCATATAGATAGCCCTGAATTTATTATTTCAATACATCTTTTTAAAGTATGTATATAAGTATTATCATATATTATTGTAAAATGTCTCTTTAAAATTTAATAATAAATTGAAGAGTATAACCCTCTTGAAGAAAAAACTTTTGCAATAAAAATACTTTTGCGTTTATTCCATCTTCTGCTAACTGTTTAATTTCAGATAAATGCTTTGTAGATAGCTTGTTTGTTTTATACTGATGTTTATGTTTTCCGAAAGCAACACTTTTACTATTTTTTTAAAAAAGTAATATATGAGAAGACTTCTGAAATGCCTGTATAAAGAGCTTGAAAAATTATTTCTAGAATAATGCAGCAAAAAATGGTCAAAATAGTAAAATACAACCATTTACAGTCTCTGAAAATTGACTACAGAGAATACAACTTAAAAAATAGTTTATTCAAGAAAATGTCCTATTCTCAGAATACATCATTGGATTTTGAGATAGTTAGGTCAGAGGCTGTTCCCATCTACACTCAGCAACTAGTTTGGAAGGTTTATTCTGGGAGTTGCTCAAAGTTTCCATCATTTTACCATAACTTTGTGGTGGAGATAGCCTACTTTAGGCAAGAAGAAGAGGCCATGAGAAATGGCTGCTTCCTTTCTACTCCCTCCTACACCCAGTTCTTGCTCTATTGCATGGAGATTCCATTCTGGGCAGAGGCCATTTCTACTACTGACACTATGTTGAAGAAATTCTACTCATGGAGTGATCTAAGGTGTTTGACATTATACAGAACGAAGCATGGAAAAATCAATTTTTAGAAATGATTTTCAGAAATTACAGTGGCAAAAAAATAAAAAATAGGTAGGGTAGAAAAATGGAAAACCGCCCAGAAATTTGTCAGGGAAGCCCAGAGTGGGATACAGCCAAAGAGGGCTCTCCTAAGATCCAACTCCATCTTTTGTGATTCTGAAGGCAATGCACATGTGTAAAGCTATGGCTGTTCAGGAGACACAGAGAGGGAAATTGTGAACACTTGTCACTGGCTGATTACAGGGACTACTTTTAACTTCCCCCAAATTGAAAACATTCCTAAAGATACACACAAACCTATCTCAAAGGGTCAAAACCAAATGGCTTAAAGCACAACCTCTGACCAATCACTGGCTGATTATGAAACTAGGCATACTGTGGCCAGTTCTGAGGAAGACAGGTCCAAATGATGCAGTTGGAAGATAAAGACCTCAAAGAAGTTCTTTTAAACATACTCAAAATCCAAAATTAAAAAAAAGTATTTTAAAAGAATCCCAAAAGACTATGACAGTTACTCATTAAATAGAGAATCTTTATAAAAAACAGAAATAATAATATGTAAGCAAATAGAAATTTTAGAGTTTAAAAATACAGTAACTAGAAAAAATACTTAAAGGGGATAAAGTAGATTTGGCATGACAAAAAGACATAAAGATGTGATGATACATCAATAGAAATTAACTAATCTGAAGAACAGAAAAAAAAAAGAACAAAGAAATTTAGAGAGTTAGAGATATATGGGACGCCATTAAGCTTACCAAGATAAATATAAAGAGTGTCAGAAGGAAAAGGAAGAAAAAAAGAATGTGTTTGAAAAAAATGACCAAAAAATTACCAAATTATATTTAACACATGAATGTACAGATATAAAAAGTTCAAAAAACTCCAAGTTTTTGAACAAAGATATTCACACCTGGACACCCATAGTCAAAAAATTGAAATACAGTTATGAAAATAAAATCTTTAAAGCAGCAAGAGAAAAATAATTCATTACATACAAGCAAATCACTTAAAGATTAACAGCTGATATTTTATTAATAATAATGAAAGCCAGAAGGCAGTGGATGACATAGTCAAAGTCCTGCAAATAAAACAATAAACACAAAATAAAAACAAAAACAGAAGTATCTCGATTACATCTAGAAAAACTATCCTTCAAAAATGGAAGTGAATTAAAGACAGTCATGAACAACAAAGATTGAAAGATTGTACTGCTATCTTGACTAGCTTATAAGAAATACACACACACACACACACACACACACAGAGCTGTTGTGTGTATATATGTATATGCATATATATATATATTTGAATAGGTTAGAAGTGAGAAAGTAATTCAAATCCATATAAACAAATAAAGAGCATTGGTAATAGAAATAAGGTGGATGATTACATAATATAATTGTATATTTTCTCCATTATTTGCTTAAGTAACTCTTAAAAAGTACATAAAACAAGAATTATAAAATTTTATCCCTTAACTTTTAAAGATGTATATATATGAAAACTGGGCAATCTAAGAATGGGATAATAATGCTCTACAGAGAGAGGAAAGGACTCCAGATTGTAACTCAATCTTCTCCAATGAAAGAAAGAATCCAAGAAACAATAACATAAGTAGATTAATATGTAAGATTATGTACATATATTTTATATTTTATTTGTGCTTAGAGAATCTTTGAAAGACACAGGATTATATAAAGCATGAATTTTAACATTCTAATGTTGGGTTTGTAACATACATAGATGTAATACAGATGATTCAACGTGAAGAAAGGAAGAGAAAATATTACTATAATGGTGCAAAGTTTCTGTATTTTAATAGAATTAGGTTAGCATAAATTTGAAGCAGATTCAGACAAGAGATGTAGTGTCATCTCTAGAGCAACCACTGAGAAGAAAACATCAAATATATATCAAAATGTTATAACAATATGCAAGCCGTTAAAAGAAGGCAGTAACAGAAAATCAGGGGAACAAAAAGTCAAGACTCACCCAAAGAAAACTAATATCTAAATGGAAGGTGTTAATTAAACTACAATAATAATATAAAATAAGAGTAAAGATCTCAAATCAAAGTGGTTAGTATAAAAAGCTAGAAAACTGAATTCAAACCAAGGAAAATAAACCCAAAAAAGAACAAATAAAAATTGAAACAGAAATTAATAAATTAGAAAATATAAAAAAAGAAACCAGAAATCGGATCTTCTTCAAGATTAAGCAAAAAACTCACCCACATTTAACGATATTAGCCAAGGATAATTAAGAGAAGACACAAATTACCAATATAAGGGATGAAAGAGGGGGCAGCACTACTGACTTAACAGATATTAAAGGAGTTGAAGGAATAGTATGAAAAAATTTATGCCACAAATTAGACAACTTAGATGAAGTGGACAAGCTTCTGGAAACACAAATTACCCGAATGGACCCCAGAAGAATATATAAGATATAAGATACTATAAAAAGGCCTATACAAACTAAAGAGATTAAATTATTAATTAGAAATCATTCACCCACACACATATTTGGAAATATCCAAACCCAGGTGCTTTAACTGGTAAATTCCACTGAACATTTATGAAATAAGTAATACCATAGTGTGTAAACTATGTCAAAAAACATGACAGGAGGATACTACTTAGCCCATTTTATAAGGCCAGTGTTGCCCAGATACAACTAGATAAAGTCGGATACAGACATCACAAAACAAAACAAAACATAAACTACAGATCAGAATCCCTCATGATTGTAGACATACAATTTCTCAACAAAACAATAGGAAACCAAATTCAATAACATAAAAAAGAATTATACACCATTAAAAGTACGGTTTATGGCAGGAATTAATTGATTTAACATCCAAAAGCCAGTTAGAGTTTTAACACACAATAATAATAGAACAATAGACACAAAGCAAATTATTATCTTAATAGATACAGTGAAATTCAGTTGCAAAATGCAAAACTCGTTTTTAATTAAAAAAAACTTTTTACCTACTGTAAGTAAAGTGGAAACACCTTGATTTGATAATAAACATCTTAAAAATACCTTATAGCTGACAAACATACCAGATGTTGAAAGACTGAATGCTTTTCCCAGAACAAGACAAGATTCTCTCCGTTTAACACATTTGTTCAACATTCTACTGGAAATAATAGCCAGTACAATTAGGCAAAGAAAGGAAAAAAATGAGAAATAAAATCGGGACAGATTAGAAAGGAAAAGGTAAATTGTCTTTACTTGTGGACAATATAATCTTGTATACAGAAAAAATACACGCATTTACATACATGCTCACACACATACTCAAAAACTATGAACTCCAGCAGTCTCAGTCAAAAATCAAATATAAATTTTAAATGAAGCTAAGAAAATTCCCATTTAAAGCAGCACTAAAATAAAATATTTAGAAATTCAACCGTAATTGTACAAGTATTGTATTTTGAAAACTACAAATAGTGCTCAAAGAAAATGGTGCAACAGCAAATATAAATAAACTGTAAAACTTCCATATAAAAGTATAAAAAGACTTGGCATTCTTAGGACAGCAATAATTCCTAAATTAATATATAAATTACAATGTGATCCTTGTTCCAGCTGTTGCTGACATATTCTGCAGAAGTTGGCAAACTTGTGCTAAAATCACACAAAAATCCAAAGGACCCCATAACCAAAACACTTTTAAAAAATAAGAACATACTTTCTACTTTCAAATCTTAGTACAGAGAGTCCCTGACTTACTATAGTTCAACTTAAAATACTTTTGACTTACAAAGAATTTATTAACCCAGCATAAGTTGAGGGGCATCTGCACGAAGCTACAGTAATACAGACAGTACGGTTGTGAAATAACGAAAGACATATGAATTTGTGAAACATCATCAAAATTATAAAATAAATTATTGCATGCATGACTGATTTTCAACAAAGAGGCTAAAAGTACTCAATGAGAAAAGGATACTCTTTTACGCGTATTATCTTAAGATAACTGTACATACAATGCAAAAAGATAAATTTAGTTCCTAACCTCATACTGTACAGAAAAATTAACTCACAATAAGTCATAAACCCAACTGTAAGTGCTAAAACTATAAACTCTAAAAAATTCTATGTCTCTTAGATTAAGATTAAATATTCTTAAATTTGGAATACATAATCAGATATAACATGAAAATGGCAAGATGTAACAGAAAAATTGATAAACTTGTCTTAATCAAAATTAAAAGCTTTTGATTTTCAAAAGATACAATCAAGAAAGTAAAAAATCAAGGTAAAGCTGGCAGAAAATATTTATAATTATATTATACAAGATTTATATCCAAAATATATATAGAAAGAACTCTTACACATAAGAATATAAATAGCCTCATTAAAAATTGGAAAGAATATAAATAATTATTTCACTAAACATGACATACAAACGGCCACAGAGCACATGAAAAGGCATTAAAATCAGTAGCAATTAGGGAAATGTGAATTCAACCCTAATGAGATAGCACTTCCCACCTAATAGAATGGCTATAGTTAAAACACCCGACAGTAACAAGCGTAGGCAACTATGGGCAGAACCTAAAATAGGTATTCATTGTTTGTGGGTATCTATTGACAGTGTCTTAAAATATTAAACATTATTAAACACAGATTTACCATACCCTTGCAGTAAAAGCAATTCTCCTTCTAGGTATATAAATATATATAAATATAAATCTGCATATATTCAAAACAAATGAAAATATTTATACACTCAAAGATTTATATATGGATGTTCATGACCACATTTTTGTAATACCCTATAGAGCAAAGACCCAAAAAAAGTCTAGAGTCACCTATTTAGATATTTTTTTCTTAGAGTACTCATAAGTTGTATTAAGTTATTAATGAAAATAAAATGAGAATCATATGGAGATTCCTTAGTTTGCAAGTTCTAGAGCTGACTTAAATCTTAACTGTATTGGCAATAGGTTGGGATCTTGGGGAAAAGTCATGGAAAGAGTAAAAATAAGAACCCTGCTTCAGGAAAATTAACTGATAACTACATTGATAGATCCTCTTCAGTAACATAGTAAAATGTACAACAGAGCCAAACAATGCAGAGCCTACTCTATACTTCTTTAAAGTTATTCTTGAGCCTGTAGAATAAGAAATCGAGCTTAACAATGGAGGACAAAAATGTTAGTGTTTATCTTAGTTCACTGTTGCTGCTATAACAAAATCCCTGAGACTAATGCATAAGAATATACCTGATTTCTTACAGTTTTGGAGACTGAGAAGTCAAAGATGAAGGCACCAGCATTTCATATATGGTGAGGGCCATCTTGCTGCATCCTTACATGACAAAAGACAAGAAGAGAGCAAACCCACTCCCTAAGCCCATTTAGAAGGGTTCTAATCCCATCCATGAGGGCTCTTCCCTCGTGACTTAATCATCTCCTAAAGGCATCATCTCCTAAAGACCTCATCTCTTAATACTATCACACTGGCCATTAAGTTTCAACACATACATTTTGGGGAACACAGACCATAGCACTGTTTTATTCCAGGAAAACTAACAAGAAATATCTGATATACATTGGACATCAGTGGTCAAAATGCTGAGGATTTTTACCTCAGATTCTTTTTATTAAAAAAGAAAACACTGTTTTGCAGACCCCAAATATCTAATAAAATATTGAAATGTTTATGTGTATAGTTTGGCTGTAACTTTTGTTCTAGATTTATTTAAAATGTCAGACTGCAAAATAAATTGCATTTCAATTATTCATCTTTATGCATGTAATAATAACAGAGGCTATTTTGGAGAGTAGAATGATACTAGAATTTATCAGAACTTCACTTACTGGAAAGAAATGACAGTAACTTGTATTTACTGTAGCTCTGTGAGTGCCACGAGAGTATGTGCAGTAAATGGCCTATGGCATGTTTTCAAATCATTACAAGCCCCAGGGTTTTCATAAATCACCAGTTAGGAAGCACTCATTTAACATTGTTCTTAAGTAATAAATATGATAAATGCTTATATGTTAATTTTACTCTTAAAAATAAAGTACTCCAATTTTCTGAAAACCCAATTTATGCATTGTAGCTAAGTCTTAGGTTTGCTGTAAGTACTGCCCAACAAGATGAACAAAATATCCATGTTCTCCTTAACAGACCAATAGCAAGAGAAATGAAAAGAAAGAGATTGTGGAATGAGGAAAGCATAACGGGAATTAAGTTTGATGAATTCCAAGTTATGCTTCTGGTTCATCATTTTGAAACTGGACTTACAGAATATGCAGAGAGAATCCAAAATTAAGGTTAAAATTTATGATATCTTTAAGCAAGGGAAACAATGCAGGAAGTTGTATGGTAATAATTAAAATATTTAAATAGATTTTAAAAATTTAATTATTTGGACAAAAAGCAACATAAGCAATATAAGTAAAGATAAAATCTTTAGAAAAAGCAAAAAAAGCATTTTCAGCTATGTAGGTCCAAATGTTAATATAACAAATTTAAAATAAACAAGCATGAAAAGAATGAATTCAATCTGATACAAAATGGTAAAGAATTAAAGTTTTATAAAGGAATAAAGAAAAGAACATGGAAAACAAATAACACAGGAGCCCACCAACAGATGAATGGATAAATAATAAGTGGTATATACATACAATGAAATATTAATCAACTTCAAGAAAAAAGAGAATCATACCACTTACAACAACATGGATAAACTTGAAGGACATTTTTTAATTGAAGTAAGACACAGAAGGACACGTATTAGATTATATCATTTATATGAGGAATCTAAAATAGACAAACTCATAGAAACAGTGAAATGGTTGTTGTCATTGGTTAGGGGAAAGGAAAATGGCAAGGTAAAATGTTTCGGTTACACAAGATGAATAAATCCTGGAGTTCTACCATACAGTATAGTGCCTACAGTTAGCAACACTGTATTGTGTACTTAAATTTTACATACTTAAAAATTTGCTAAGAGGGTCGATCTTATGTTCTTATCAGAAAATAATAATAAACACAGATTGGAGGAGAAAATTTTTTGAGGTGCTGGATACGTTTATGGCACAAATTGTAGTGATGGTTTTATGGGTGTGTACTTATCTCCAAACTCACTAAGTTGTGTACATTAAATATGTACAACTTTTTGTTTGTCAATTACACTTCAGTAAAGTGTTTTAAAAACATACACAGGACTCCACATACACACACAAGGTCAATGAATATATAAAATGGAACAAATTAATGATAAAAAAAGCACAAATACTCAAAAATGTATTTTTGCTTATCAGATATATAATATCCGGTGAGGACAGGAGGGCAAAGATCTCTCGTGTGCATTATAGGTATTTTATAAACATGGGAGCAATATTCTAGTGACACAACTTTCCCTCCAACGGAAGGTCATCAGAGATCAGGAGATTTGGCAATGCCCAGATGTCTTAGGAACGTGGGCTATCAACACAGTGTGAATATGTGTACTAGAGGGCAACCTCCGCAGATGACAAATTGAGATAGTATTTAGTTGGAGTGAATTATGAATTGAAGGGAAGAAAAAACAGTATATTTTCCTCACCGATGCATTCCAATGTTCATGGATGAGACCCCTATAACATAAGACAGATTAACAAAAGAAAATCATACAAACTTACTTAATATAAATTCATGTGACATGGGATCCTTCAGGAATGAAGACTCAAAGGAACAGGGAAACCTGTGTGTTTTATCACTTATGTTTGATAAACAGTGAACAGTTATCAGGAAATATGATTGGGCAAAAGGGGGCATGACATAATGGTCATGAACTGGGGGGAACTTAGCAAGGTCTCTTTGTTCAGATTCTTCCCTGTGTCTCTGTGCTGCTAGAGATAAGGGCATTTCTTTCCTCCATGCAGAGACAGAGTGGTGCCTCGGGAATGGGGGTGTTATGATTTATTTCAGGAGAGAGAATGGAGGGGGGAAAAGGAAGGTTGAAGTGATCTTCCTGCTTCTGCTGTTTTCTTAAATTCTAAGGTGCTGTATTTTAGAGTTCTGTGTCCTGAATCCTGTCACTATATTAGAAAAAAAATCACTCAATTATTTTTGCCATTTAGAAGGACAGTGCTGAGTAGGTTGTATCTATAACTTGCAATAGGTAAATCTGAAGGAATCCAGAAATAGGAACCTAACTTAATGAGACATCTTTGAATCTGTCTCTTCCTAAATAAGGAGACTACTTTAGAAACATTAACCTAGATAAAAAGATTAAAAAAAATTGACTTTATACCTATAAGAAGTCAGGAGGTGTGTGATTTTACTTTATCCTCTAGACAAACAGTCATCAAGGAAAGTTGTGTTGTGTATAATAGACAGCTTTTTAAACTATAATACAAAAATGGCAAATAGACAATCTTCCTTGTGCAAACTTCCGTCTTGTTGTGTTAATGAAATTTCAAATAAACTAATATAACATAAACAATTATAAGTATATTTGCATAAGTAATGAATAGCTCAAATATAATCAATATTTGGAACACACATTATTGTCTAAATGAAAATGGTTATCTTTACCAGCTTTTAAATATGGATGACACAGTCTTCTGTTTTTCACTACCTAATCAAGAATATTGGTAAAGCTGAAAGCATTCCGGGTGGCCAGTTATGTTTGTTCTTACTGGAGAAGTTTTAATAAGCCACCTTTCTAACAACATGAAAAGCAAAAAGGTGCAAAGAAAAAGGAAACGAAATATTTGTTGTTAACTAAATTATATACACATTAATGTATATGAAAATTATCTGGCCAGAAACAAGAAACTGTAGTAACAGTTTAATTTTAAAAAACAAACAATTACTATTCTGTTTGAAAGTCCATATCTGTACATGTTCAAGAGATTTCACTTCAGGGCACCCTCTTAGAAGGATCATTTTAATTAGGACATATTCAGTTTCACTGACTAACGCAAAAGCATTTTTCAAAATGGTTGCTCCTACTAGCGGTGGATGAGAAACCCCAATTTCCAACATAACTTCCAACATATTTTAAATCTTTACTAATCTGATGTCTATAAAATGGCTTTGCATTATAGTTTTAATTTTTATTTCACTGATTACTAATCAGTGGAATATTGGAGGGAGTGATCCTTAGTTAAAAGTTTAGATATGTATCTTCAAGTAAAGGGTTAAAATTTATGCTAGTCCGCTATATTTAACCCACTCAGAAATGCTTCTGATTTCCCAGTTAAAATGGAAAATTTGAAAGTTCCTTCAGAAGGTTTTAGTCTTCTTTACTAACTGAAACCTTTTTTTTTTTCATTGTTATTGAGGAAAATCTGTATGATTTTTCAGGAGCAAATTTACTTAAGAATAGCAATCAAGACAGTTTGTAGGACAATAAAGACATTAATAACACTGTTATTGCACACAATATGATTACTTCTCAAGTTTAATGGCATACAATCTTTTTTTTTTTTTTTTTGGCAGTATGAGGAAATTAGCTCTGTTTCCTGCCACAATTAGTTGTAAGTCCTTCATTTTCATTTTGTTGGAGACTGAAGGACAAATCAGTGAAAACAGAATCAAGCGCTTGGGTAGTCAGCTATGATTCTTGTCTAGGAGTAATTTATCATGGAAATGGAGCCTGCTTTTTTTTAATGGAAATTTGAAAACTGCTTTCTGCACGATTGAAGCCTTAGTCAGTAGCCCACCCCAGAGTATGACAAATGTTACTTTTCTCTACAAGATAATAGCAAGACCAGTGTCATAAACTTTTGAAATGGCATAATTAGTTGAATAATGTACATGTATGTCTTTCCAAATCCTCTCTCGCTTTTTTAGAATCTTACGTGCACCTGACATTCATGCTTTAGATAAAGCTTGAATATTATAAAATACATTTTTTCTCTGAAAATTAATAATTTGGGAAGTCAAATCAGCAAAGTACATATATACATATATTTTCTATCGAGCTATAGTTTCTTTGAAGTATTAAAATAATGCTAACATATTAAGATAGTGTCTGCATTAAAATATGTCTATGTAAAACTTCAGAAAATGTCAAGGCGATTATCTTTATGACACTGGATAATAATATTTTCAAATATATAGAAAAGAGATTATTTATTTTTCTTGACTACTTGGCACCATATAAATCTCCAACGTGAGGCAGTATAGGGAAGAGACTCAGTCCTGGCTGACAGGTGTCATTAAAACCAAAGTCCTGCTGGGTCTTACATGTAGGGGCATATTCCTTCCTCTACCATTCTGCCTCCCTTAGCAAGTTGATCCAAGTCATGTAGCTTGACATGGGACTAACTTAGGTGACCAGGCTGAGATCCTAATCATGAATGAAGAACGTGTTTATCTCGTTGAGTGATGCTTTCCGTGGTCACTGAAGCAAGACTCTGGCATTCCCAGTAAGAATATAACCAGATCTGGCTGCCTGAAGACAAGGTGAACTTCAGCATTGACCTTTCACTGACATTTTCTTCATTATAATCTCATTGTAATACTAAACTCTTCAGCCAAGGTGGGTGGGGCTTATCTGCTTTTTTCTGGTCATGTGATGCAGAAAACACCCTCACTAAAAATGCTTGTATGTTGGTCGTTCCCTTTCCCACCTCAACTTCCTCAAAATGACCAGAGCAGAGCCCCTCTGGGAGCTGGTACTAGGATCCTGTTCCTGTCCGTTGTTCCCTTGCGTGCTCCACTCACAAGCTCATTATATCTTGCCTGAGAAAAATCTCCAATTGTCCTGGTGTTCATTTCACCTTACATAATAGCCAAAGAACTTGGCAGCCAGGATGTGGTAACAAAATCTAAATATATAGTATATGGATATTGATATTATAGCCAATACCTAAAAAGATGAGCATATAATCAAATATTTGATACTTACCCTTAAAGTAAAAAATATGCCAAAGTCCCATGTCTCTGAAAAGAATGTGAAAATTTTAGAAGTAATTTTAACACATCCTGGCAGAAACTGATTTTTCTAAGTAACAAAGTTTTTCTTTATTAAAGTCAGTTGAACATTATATTTGACCACATTAAGAATAATACTGTGACATTATCACTATACGATATGCTTTGTATTTTTATTCTGTGTTTGCTTATATATTGTCAATTTGAGTTTTTCATTTTAGTTGAATATAGAATCTATTTTATTATATAATACTGTAGTTTGAATTTTAATGCGTATGCATTCAATTCCAACATATTTTGGAAATATAGATACATATATAGAGAATAATACTATTATTTTAACTAAAAAATTGAAAATATGAATATATATGCTAACAACATCATATTCTCATTTTGTGTTCCCTATACTGTAATTCTTTTTGGCCATTACAATTGGCATCAGTAGTCTTCGCTTAGCATGTCTCTTTCTTTTTGCCTCCCCTGTGTATTTGTGTATTCCTGCTGATGCATTTGCATGGTTTACAATTTTAAGATGCCATTGACTATGACCACATTTCTCTGAAGTTATTGTTGTTTCCATATCACTGCAATGCCAACCTTTGGAATTGATTTACTTGCTAGGAAACCCCTAAGGTGTCACAAACACTTCCTTCAAGAGAATTACATGCAGAACAGTAGCAGCGAATGCTACTGTGGGCTCTAACAAATCCCTAGTTTGAGGATTCAGTGAGGCTTCTGTAACTTTCAAAGTTTTAAGTGATGAGAATATACATAGAGGGCAAAATTATTATTAAGTGTCTGTCCAATATTTTAAAACATTTTTAAATTGTAAAATGTTTAATTATTCTACAGTAAAAGATTAGTAGAGCTAAGCATCTTTCTTAATATACTGGATGGGAAAATTTGGTTTGATTTTGTACAGTAAACTTATCAGATGACCCATCCTATTTTGTCTGGAAAGTTTTAATCCAATGTTATTGCTTCCCTTTTATTATGAGTCTGTTCAAGATGTTGTACTTAATGCTGTTGAAATGGATATTACAGATGCTCTTCAGTATAGAATCATGTATGACACTCTAAAGAAGTACAGGACATACATTTGCTACTCATTAATGGATGGAATATTCCAATATGCAGAAATGAAAATTAAAATTAACAATTTTGGGTATTGTGTCTTCACTGATACTAGGGATATATTTACAGAGTTTTGTGGGTCTGTGTGATTGTAATATGAGAGTATGAAAGTAATCATTCCTGAGAAAATGATGAGTGTATGTATGATTGTCTGTCTTCTTTGAGCTCGTGTGTACAATACGGATAAGACACTAAAATATTAAAAAGAAACCTTCCTATGGTCTGGAGTCAATGATAGATACAATGTTTTTGCATTTGGAATAAAAGTGATTTCAGAGACATTACCAAGAAGGTAAGTTGAAGATGTGAAAAGCCTTGGGGCAGGAAAGCAATGTAGGTACTTAAGGCATTCATTAATTAGCTAATCTACTCAAATCCCAGAATGTCATTTACTCTACAGCAGAATAAAGCTGATTCCTCAGTTTAACTGCTGAGCCTCAGCAACTGCTGTTTTCTACCTCATGTAGGAGAGACTGATAAGCAGTGAAACTGACTACTATGGACATTTTAATATTCAGTTCACCTCTTTCACCCTTTGCCTCAGGCAGCTCACACACTTTGCACAGCCTGAACTTTAGCAGGATTTGAAAAAAATTCACCTTAGGAAAATTACAACTGCAGATATAGTAAAGGAACCTATGATTACAAATAATCTGCAAACCATCATTGTTTGGCAATACTGAGCTATATTGGTGCAAACTCAGAAGTTTGATTTTTTGGTGTTTCTTGGGTAGCTGTATGCATTGTAAATAATTTGTAAGTGTATAAATTTTTCAGGCTAAATCACCTTGAATATGAAAACACAAAGTGTTCATCTGCATGTTTGTTTTTGTGTAATAGGATTAATTGATACTATTAGATGTTTGCATAACACCCTCCCAAACACACAAGTGGAGACACATCTGGTAGTTCTTCATTGTTTTGGATGCTTAGGTGGATCACCCAGATCCTCTTTCAGAACACATTTCTTCAAAAGCAGGTTGTGAACTGCTGATAGTTCACATCTGAGGCTCTCCATAAGAATATCATCAGTGGACACCGGGTGCAGTGGCTCACAGCTATAATCCCAGCACTTTGGGAGGCCAAGGCAGCCAGATCATGAGGTGAGGAGATTGAGACCATCCTGGCTAACTCAGTGAAACCCTGTCTCTCCTAAAAATACAAAAAAATTAGCCAGGCGTGGTGGCAGGCGCCTGTACTCCCAGCTATTCAGGAGGCTGAGGCAGGAGAATGGCATGAACCCGGGAGGCGAAGCTTGCGGTGAGCCGAGACGCGCCACTGCACTCCAGCCTGGGCGACAACAGAGCCAGACTCTGTTAAAAAAAAAAGAAAAAATCGTTAGTGTAAAAGAAGCTGCCTTATTCAAATTACCATTTCCTCCCCCTCTTCTATGACACTTGCATCAAATGATTTGTTCATTCACCATTTCCAATGCTCACCTCTCATGTCCCAGTTTTGAAGGCATATTCAACTTCTCCTTCTGCATAGTTCTCCTTTCCTTATTTCCTTTCAAGTTTTGGTCCCCAAATTCCTCTACAAGAACCATCCAGAATGCAAATTTCAGTTACAAAGGCTATTTCCCAGGCAACCAAAACTATAGAAGGTGATTGAATAAATAAGGCTCATCCTGGACAGGAGAATGTCAAAAGACAAATCCAAGTTCTACTCCTCTATTCAGCGTGGTCTTTTACGGAAACATTTCACTGAAATCACAGCTCCATTTTGAGGGAAAAAGTGGGGAACTGGAATGGGACATTAAAGCGTTTTCTGAAGACTGCTCTTAAGCAAACTTGAAATGAATTGTAGTTTACTGGCTGCTACTTTAGTGAGTTATTTTAGAACTACAAATTTGTCCTGACAATAATTTGATAGCAAAACAATACATTACCTTTTGTGTTTTTTGTAACATTTTTATTTACATTTTCTTCAGTTGAGAAACTACATTTTTTTGTTATAACTTACAGAAAGGCATGACCTCTTGTAGTTGGACATGTATTTTCTGTCAGGTAAGCAGTTCCTGTCCCTTCAGTTATGTAGAACATAAGGATTTAAGAAGACCTTCATCCCCCAGGGACCAAGAAAACACTATGAACACTTGGCTTAAAAGCCAATATATCATCTGGTATTTACTGAAGCCGGAATACACTGATGATACTGTTGCAGCTTTTTCACTCCTGCTGTTCAGCAATCAGGAGATAGTAGCACCCAGCAGCTTCTTCACTCCTGTAGTTCGGCAAGCAGGAGGGAGTGTTACAGCTCTTTTACTCCCACCATCTACAGCTTGGTGAGTGGAAACATTACAGCTCTATTGCTCCTTCAGTTTAGCAAGTTCTGGTTTCTTGTCCCATGACCAAGAAGAATAAGGCTAATGGACACTGGAGAGTAAGAGAGAAGAGGATTTATTAAGTGAGAGAAAGGGTCTCAGCAGCGAGAGGGGACCCAAAAAAGGGTTGCCAACAATGAGGCTGAACACAGGAGTTTTTATGGTCTTAATATGGGGAAGGCTTGGGCTGAACAGTGCACCAAAATGCAACACTCAGAGAGACACAATAATTCAGAGGAGTACAAAGAACCAAGCAGGAGAGGGAAGAATCAGGGCCAAGACAAAGCATGTGAAATGGGACAAAGGCATGCCAAAGGGAGAGAGAATTCCTAAAAAGAATTGGAATTTATTCATCTGGGCTAGTCGAATGGCCATTTTCATGTAGGGATGCAGGCTTATTCTGATCTGGGGCTTGCAGCTTGGTTTTCAGGCTGTTCTTGGTTTGAAGGAGTTTTACTGAGGACCCACCCTAACTGCCTGCCTGACCAGCTCCTTCTTTCTTCCTGTCTCAGTACTCCATGTTCCTGGAAGTGTAGTGGCCATTTTCTCCACTTTTTCTATTCAATGAGAGTTATCTAGAGCAATGATCCTCAATCTTTTTGGCACCAGGAACCCATTGTGTAGAAGACAATTTTTCCACAGACTGGAGTGGGGGATAATTCAAATCCATTATATCCATTGTGCACTTTATCTCTTTTAGCATTAAATAGTAATATATGATGAATTAATTATACAACTCACCATGAGTAGAATCAGTAGGAGCTCTGAGCTTGTTTTCCTGCAACTAGACTCTCCCATCTGGGGGTGATTGGTGGGAGTGGCAGATCATCAGTCATTAGATTCTCATAAGGAGTGTGCAGCCTAAATCCCTCAAACACGCAGTTCGAAATAGTGTTCGCACTCTTGTTAGAATCTAATGATGCCACTGATTTGACAGGATGTAGAGCTTTGGAAGTAATGTGAGCAAGGAGGAGCTGCTGTAAAACCAGATGAAGCTTCACTCTTTTGTCTGCTGCTCACCTCCTGCTGTGTGGCTCAGGGGTTGGAACCCCTAATGTAGAGGCTGTACATTCTCACCTTACATAATTTTTTTCTTCAAATTATATCTCTAAATTTCCTTTAAAAACTACTCTTAAAATGTGCACATTTTTGTAGTAGTTAAGAGTATAAACCATCAAATTAGTCATGCCTGATTTACATTCTGGTTGAGCAATTTACTAAATAATAATTAACATAATTTTTGACAACTTTAAGAACCAATATGTTTCTATACATAGTAAAAATAGTAATATGACCTAGCAGATAGGGCTGCCATAAGAATTTAATTACATGATTTATTCAAAGCATAAAGCATAGTATTTGGCATATAGTAAGCACACAAAAAGCCAACTACAATAATATAACAAGATTGTGAACTTCATAAGTTTACTGGAAGATTTTAAGAATGTTTACATTATTTCTCTAAATTATATTATTTTCTCAACCAAGGTAACATTTAAAATTTGCCATAATATATCCTTAGTGGATTTGACTGCTTTAAAATCATGATCTTCTTTCCATGGGTCTCTTATATTCTGTCCCTTATGCATTCAGGCTTCTTATACTCTTTCTCACTGGTGCCTTCTCCACCCCTTCTGGTAGGAAAATATCCTCTTATACCCATTTGAGACACCATTTATACCTAGTCATGCATTTTTAATGTGTTATTTGTTACAAAGACAGATAAGAAACATATCTTTAGAGATTTAAGGCAGTTTTACCTTGGTTTAAAAAAATTAGGCAAACAAAATTGTATATTTATTTAAAACATTCACATCACAGCAGGAAACAACTTCAGCCTGTGTATATATTACTGATACTATAGAAGGTTAAATGATTAAGAAGGCACATCCACTCCTTTAAGACAGTGCACTCATTTAGTGTTATTATAGCACACTAAATAGTACTCTAGTGACCTAAGGTATGCATCCTCAAGCACTTATTTCCAAAAAATAACTCTCCTTCTCAGAAGCATCTGGTTCATTATGTAGGGTTAAGTCCATTATTTACAAAACTCCTGGGAAACAGAAACCAATTTCATTTGCACCCAATCATTTGAATCGTTTTATCCTGCCACTCCCCAACCCTGCAAGTTGCAAATACACAAATATTTTATGTATTTGAGAATAAATGAAGGCTGTAAATGTATACTTATATTTCCAGGAAGTAGTTGTCAAATGCAGCTAAATTAAATCACAGTTATTTTAAAACAAAACCAAAGAAAACTGAAACACCTATGTGAGTTACATGATGATTCACAATTCTATGGACGTACAATCCCTAGAAATTTCCAAAAATAAAAGGTCTATGAACAACATGTTCTATTTTATTGAACTTAGCAGACACCATATATTTAGTCAAATTGATGCTAGCTAAGTCTCGAATTATTTTACTGTGTTCTAAGTTTGCATTGGCTCAGAGTAGTAATAATACTATAATAAGAAAAAGATGTTTACCTATTTCCTAACAAATCTACTCTAGTATACATAATATTTAAAATCATGAAGTCTTTTGGGAAATAAAGAGCAAAAGACAAAAAGAGTTATTAGAAATAACTATTTCCAATGGCTATTTTGTATCACTTCTTGATATTTGCATTTAAAATAGACAGTAAAAATATATTCTTGATATATTTACCTCATTTAAAGTAAATTAATCAAATTTTCAGCAAACTGTTTAGTGTTAAATGCTATTGAGTAAAGAAATGAATATATATTAATCCAAGTTTCATGGATAAGTCATAGGTAAGATGAAAATAAATAGGAAAAGTTATAAGAAAAAGAATGAATAAAGGACTTGGAAATGTAATGCATATACAAAGTAGGTTTATTGTGGTCAATTTTTTTTTTCAGATACAACCTGAATCACTGAATTGATTACTAAATTATTCTTGCAACGATCATGCTAGCTGCCTGCCACTTATTTAGTTCTACTAGGCAGAATTAGGATTGTGTAAGGAATTGGAGACACAATCACTATCTTTAAAATTCCCTCTGGATGATTGGACATAATAAGAATAAAAACATAGAACATTAGGAAAGTTTTAAAAGTTGAATGTAATTAGCATACAATATGAGCTAATGTGCTGCAAGAATCAAGAGGAGAGGGAATCCAAGATGGGATGATACTGACAAGGATACTGGGGAGATAAAAATGAACTAGATCATATAGATTGTAGAAAGGTGTTTAGATAATGGATTGAGAAAACATTATCTTGATCAGGAGAATGATATTAAGCTAAAACTCACTTTTAAGTTGAAATATAATAGGAAAATTTGGATCATAAATAAGATTTTTTCATAAACAGTCTTGATAAAAATTTTGATTTTTTTTGTATGAGAAAGTTTTTTTGAATCTTTTCTAACTTTGCAAGTGATATTTGATTTTACTCCTGAGGTCATTATAAGTGAAAAGAAAATTGGATGATAGGGTTATGTTTCAGCAATGACAGGTTTTTTCCCCCATGAATTGAAAATTATGGACAGGGGCTGCTCAGGCAATTTAATGTTTGTGCCTGAAGTTTATTTCTGATCATCCTTCTTTAGTTTTAAAGCATCCCCAGTGAAAGATTCTTAGAAAATCTTGTTTATAATTTTAGATCCTCTATGCACTCTGAAGTGACATTTGAATACATGAAATATTTTTCATTAACCTTGTTCTTTAAAAACATCTAAGTTGTGAGACATTGAACATGTTTTAGAATAAGTTAACCTTAACATATTCCTTAAACTATATGGTAAATATTCAAGTATACTCCCTAAAAAACATTTATCTAGAAATACACAGAAGAAAGCAGTCACTAGCTTTACAGTTTACCAGCCATAATTAGATTTGAAAGCTAAAAAAATATTAATTATATTTGATCCATATAGTATAAATAGAATTTCAAAATACAAACAACAAAATCTCAATGTTTATTGTTTTGTTCAATCCCTTATTCAGTTTTAGCTCTTATATTACTTATATGATAGATGCTCTAGGGAAAAATAAAAATATATGTGGTTGAAATCTTCCTGAGCATATGCTATGGCATTTCAAATGTTCTTATTTCAAATGCACTTTTTAACATGAACAGATAAACCAACAGAAGATGTCTGGAGGAAAATCTAAAATTATATTATAATAGTTCCAACTTTAAGACATGAAAACGGAACCCCCAAAGCCTGATTTATTCAAATGTCACCATGGATTTTTTAGCACTGTTATTGATCAATGCATATTTAATATAATAAACTTTAAAATTATATTTACATACAAGTTATTTTACTTTTTGTTTGTTGGCTTATCGCTAAAATATACATGCTTATGTAGATATATTTGGTGAATCATCAAAAATATGCAGATGTACTTCATTGTCGTTACTCATTAAATTGAGAGTAACAACTGGAATTGATCAAGATAAAATAGTAAGAGAACGTTTCATTTGAAAAACTGTAAAAAGCCCTGTATGATTGAATTGCTGAAATTTATGAAGAGTGAGACAGAAAAGGAAGTTAGGGAGGGAGAATGCTCCTCAGATTGTGGAAGACCAATTTAAACAAGTTTAGTCTTCAAACATAGGAAATGTTAATCAGGGAAATCATGTCTGCACTTTAGAAATAACATACTAAAATGAAAGGGAAGAGAGAAAGTTCGATGACGAAAGATATTTCAAAGGCTGAGATCATGGGGATTTGAGAGTAGTAAATGAATTTTAAATATCTATTTTCTAAGATTTCTTTCAAAATTTTAATCACACTCTTTACTTCAAACACATGACAAAGATAATACATGTATGCACCCCACACCCTATAGATCAGATATTGAACAGAAATGCAAAAATAATAAATGGGTACAGTGGTTAGGGTATTGTTGTAGGAAATAAAAAAAATGATGTGGAGGAGACTTCAGGTCTTGGAGATGAAATGTGCAAGCCACTGAGATTTCAGACTTGTTTAATAATCTGCCCTGACTGGAAATATTGACCAATATCATTTAGTGTAGCTTTTCAGTTTTCTTGGTTGACTTAACTATGTAACTTTATCAAGTCTTACTATATTTGCTCAAGATATACTAATCATTTTATCTTTGATTATATTACCATATTTTACCAACATACTAAACTATGTTCAAGAAATTAAATATTTTATTTTAGTGTCTTTAAACATTGAACAGATATATCTATATACGTGTACACATACGTATACATATAGAAATTTGATTAACATCAGAATCATGAAATTTACTTAGTAGCCTAGATATGTGCATTTTCCATGTGCAAGCTATTTTTCTTATTTTTGCAGAAGTTCAAAGATAAAATTAAAAGAAAATATCATGTTTAGCTATATAAGAAACATATTGACAAAATATCTTTCTTATCCACTATAAGCAAAGGATCTGATTTGTTAATATGTAATTACCCATTTGGTATGCTGTTGGAATTATTATTAAAATTATTGTAATTAGTTATTACAGTCCATCATCTATTGGTAAAATTATTTTTGTAATTAAAATAGAGAAAATTATTTATTGCCAAGTATCATGCCTTAGGAATTTTAGTCGAAATTATCTGTGGGAATTTAAAAATATATTAGTGGGTCTAAGCCCAGCATACTGATGTAATACTTCTTAGAGGGGAGAACAATTAATAATTTTTAAAAGTAATCTGAGTTATTCTAAAGTATAAAAGATTTAGAAATCATAGCAGTGGATAATATTTTCAGGTCAGTGAAAGAAACAAAAAGTTATTGGAGTGACATATTTAATAGTGATCCCTCTTTTCTGAGTAACACCTATGTATGTATTTGAAAACTTAGGTGTATAAATAAAAGAAATGTGGGCATATGACATGAAAACTAAGAAGACCAGAAGTTATTTCCTTCTGAGCAAATAAAAAAACTGAAAGGAAAAAGATATTGGGCTTCCCAAGCACTCAAATGACAGTAAACAGGATTTCGTTCCACTATGAGTGATGAAAACACTGTAGAGTTGAAAACCGCCTTTTAGAGAAAGCAAGAAACGTCCCTATTCATTTTGGTAGCCAACAATGATTATATAGCTAAGAATGGTTGGTATTTTAAGGGATTCCAACTGGAATATTAGAATTATTTTTATATACATGAAGGATAAATAAAAACCTTACATTTCTTTCTAGGTCCAACATGCTTAAGATTAGGATTTGAGGGGAAAGAGAATTTTCCAACTTTATATGCAAATGACTGCTTACTCTTTTCTTACATAAATTAATTATATTATTAATTTTCTTTGAACAATTACTTTATCATTTTTGCAGGTGTTATAAATATTCCCAAAGAAATCCTATCAAGAGCTGTGAGAGGAATTACCACACAAATGCCCTGGCTTTTTTGTTCATTGTAGCAATTGAATTAGAATCTATCATCTCTGACCTCAAGCCCTACACTTCTTCATTTCCTTCAGAAGACTGTCACGACTTATTAAAGACATACTGTATCAGAATGTTTATGTCCTGTAATCATTCAAATAACTCTCATTTAAGATGATAAAATATCAAAAGTTATTTATTGCCAAGTATCATGCCTCAGGAATTTTAGTGAAAATTAACTGTGAGACTTAAAAAATACATTACTAGATTTCAGCCCATATATCTGATTTAATACTTATTAGATGGAAGAACAATGAAGAATCTTTAAAAGCAATCTGGGTGATTCTAAAGTATAAAAGATTTAGAAATTCTAGCAGTGGATAATATTTTATCTTCTAATCAGCCAATTTACTTTACTAACAAAATTCAGCAGGACTGTAACAAAAATGCTGCTAGATAGAATTAAAGTTTAGAAATAAAGAACTAAAACTCTTTGCTCTCCTTTCATCATACTACAACCCTAGAAAACTTATACAGAATTTCAGCTACTCCTTTTCTTTGTCACTACACTGAATGCAAGAAGTATAGCTTTCTCAAGTATTGTTTTGCAAGCATTCGTGGTTTACGTGTATTAAACATTTTTTTAAAAAAAAACTGAAAAAGACTCGAAACAAAGCAGAAAATAAACTTAAAGCAGTTATTCTTTGTAAATTATTTGGGCTTATTGAAAAGCTGTATCAGGCTGGGCACGGTGGCTCACGCCTGTAATCCCAGCACTTTGGGAGGCCAAGCGGGTGGATCACCTGAGGTCAGGAGTTTGAGATCAGCCTGGCCAACATGGTGAAACCCCATCTCTACTAAAAATACAAAAAAAAAAAAAACCAAAAAAAAATTAGCCAGCCATGGTGGCAGGTGCCTGTAATCCCAGTTACTCAGGAGGCTGAGGCAGGAGGATTGCTTAAAGCCAGGAGGTGGAGGTTGCGGTGAGCTGAGATCACGCCATTGCACTCCAGCCTGGGGGACAAGAGTGAGACTTCATCTAAAAAAAAAAAGAAAAAAACCATATTAGGAGTTAACTTGAATTCATAAACCAAGTTACAAAAATGTAACTTTTATATGTAAAAATTAAATGGTTTTAAGATAGTGAATATTAATAATTATAATTATTGTTGCTATTGCAAAGTGCTTAGAAATTTTATATTTAGCATAATATTTTAAAATCATAGGCATTTTAGGAAACCTGGTAAAAAGAGTATATTATAAAATTAATGTCACTTCCAACATTAGTCTATATAAAAATAAAAAATAAAATAAAAAATACAAATTAATAAATTCTAAATAAAATTGAATCACAAGTTGACTTTTATAATTAAATATTTCAAAATTCACAATCTTTATTTGTATTTTGCCCACCAATACAATGTTCTTAATGATATAATGTACTATTAAATATTAGCTAACTATGTATTTTAATTGTTGTTATTCTTGAAATGATACTTTGAGTATATAGAGATAGCAATAGAGATAAAAATTGTGTAATCCCGGCACTTTGGGAGGCCAAAGCAGGCTGATCGCTTGAGGTCAGGAGTTCGAGACCAGCCTGGCTAACACGGTGAAACTTTGTCTCTACTAAAAATATAAAAATTAACTGAGCATGGTGAAACACACCTGTAACCCCAGCTACTCTGGAGGCTAAGGTGGGTGGATCGCTCGAATCCGGGAGGTATAGTTTTCAGTGGGCTGAGATTGTGCCACTGTACACCACCCTGGGTGACAGAGTGAGACTCTGTCTCAAAAAAACAAAGCAAAACAAAACAAGATGTATTTATTTCTCTGCAGTATTATTTCTCAGATGCTTTTGTATTAATCCTTAAGTTTAGGTATATATTGACATAATCCAAATATTTATTCATTACATATATTACTTTATTATACTTATTGCATATATCACATTTATCTTGCTTTAGTACAACCTCACCTCCCCTTTCTTCTGACAGTTTGTAAATTGGCATATATATATATGTGTGTGTGTGTGTACACACACACAAACATATGAGAGACACGTATTCCAAAGTTTCCCTTCATACCAAAATATGCTAGAATCATCAGTGAACACAATGGCAGTATGTGACATGAAATTTTATTAATATAAATCACACTGGGTCTTTAAAAATGTTTATTGAATTAATGATCAGTGTCCTGGACGGACATCTTAAATTCTAATAATGGGTTTTATTGGTAAGCCTAAGTATATCAAATGCTATTTCCAGATTGATCATTCCTTCAATTTTAGAGACCTCATAAGACTAGTAGATCTTAAGCCTGAGGTAGTTTTTCCAAGGAATACATGGAGCAGTCAAATGTTATAGGTGCAAAGAGAAAAAAGATATTAAATATAATTTTCAAAAATGGTGTTTTATGCAAATTTAAACACTTTCTATTTAGGAGAAATTATTGCATAAAGCATTTAACATGCTATTATATATTATACATCTCAGAAAAGTCATAATGCACAACATTTCCCAAGGTAATTCCCCCATAATCTATTTGGTATAAAACATTTCTGAAAAAAATGAGAATTTAACATACTTTGGGAAATATCACTTTAAAGGAAGATTGAATTATAGGAAAAAAATGGAGTTCTCCTCAGCTTCCAAATTCTGATGTTAGAAATGTTCATTAAGATGTCAGATGTTTAGAAAGTGAATGACAAGGACAATTATGCTGAAAAAGAAGCGAGGAAGAGAATGGAAATGCAGTGAGTTGCACTGGAATGAATATTAGAATGGGTCAGTAAACCAAGGTGGCAATCCTGACCTGAAATACATAAGCTACATGATATTGTGCAAACTATTTAACAACTTTGTCCAATAGCTTCCTAATCTTTAAAATGAAACTTAGCTGAATGACCTATAAGGTCTCTCCTAGTATTTAAAGTTAACTGAAATACTTTTAATCACTGGAACAAGCTCTTACAGAGTGAAAAGAATGCCTTAATTAATATATTCCTAGTCATCAAATGCAGACTTATCAGTTAACTCTTTTTATGTCTTATGAATATGATGTTATATTAAAGAAAATTCCATATATGTAATTATAGTCAAGGCAAAGATAAGTTAATAGAAGGGCAAGAAGCAGGACTGATAATACGATTTATTTGATTTGCTTGGGTTGCAGAGAAACAGTTCAAGGATTTCTGGTGGGACCCTCTTTCCTGCTATTTTCTTGTCTTTTCACATGACTTGTTAAAAGCATTGGTCAATCGGATGACATATTTAGTCTCTGGAATACTTAGGCCTCCATAGCAGACCAATATTTTTGAAACACTGACAATTTTTGTCGTTTGTCTTAATTTTTGCCCTTCCTCTGCTTACCACTACCACTCACATTCAAAAAGCTTGGCCACCGATTTGAAATAAAAGAAGTGACAGGGAATACAGCACAAAAATGGTGCCTGATTTTGGTTTCAAATACTTTATCTTTAATAGGAATACCACGGTTAAAACAATATTTATGATCGTTATCATTTGAGGAGTGTTTCCCACAAAGACTAGAACATATTTATTTTGAACCTGAGGAAAGGGGCGGGGGGAAAGGCAGATTAAACAACGACAGCAAAGAAAAAGCCACTAGTGAATTAACCAGTGGAGCTGCTAGCTTTCCACCAAGATTCTTTCCTTCATTCATTATAATATAATTATAGCCAGACACATTTTGGCTCAGTCAGATACTTTGTACCAGCTTCCTCTGCAGTTAGTTATAAACAAGTAGCTAAGTATCTGCCAATGGAATTTGCACAGAAGTGGAGTGTGCCATTTTTGGTTTGAGAATAATGACATCAGAAATAAACCCTCTACCTCCACCTTCTCTTTCAACTGTCAGAATATAGTGGAGCTTCAAACATGTGGAAGAGGACTTGATTCTCTCGAGTGTGGTGGAGCAATGGTTTAGAAGGAAGCTAAATGCCCCAAATACCCGTGAAGAGAAGAATTGTCCCTGAGATGGGAACATTAATATTGTAACTGTTACATGAAAGAAAAATGAACTCATTGTCTTTGTACAACTATAATTTTGGATGCTTTGTTACAGCAGTTTAGCTTTGCCCCAGTTAATATAGTTTAACATATGAAGGCTCTTAGAAACTTAGAAAATTTCTGGTTACATAATAGGTGTTAAATGTTTTTCTTATCATTAGGATTATTAAAATATAATAAGTATTACTAGGTTGAGTGTGTGCGTGTGTGTGTGTGTGTGTGTGTGTGTGTGTGTGTGTGTGTGTATTGGATGATCTAACTGGAAGAGGCCACAAAGAAAATAATTAGAAATTTTTAATTTCTAGCTTCTGCAGAGATAGAAATAAGGAACCTTGGAGCAAAGGTAAAACCACAAATGGTAGATTTCTGGAGTTAAGTCTAAAGGCATTACCCAACAGATCATCCAGCTCCCACTCCAAGGAGGATGTTTCTTTTGTCAGCTCTTGAAGTTAAGATAAGTGTTTACTGCAAACATTTAAGCACCGTCTTGAAAGATAATTATACACATAATCTGATTCTAGGAAACTACACAAATTCTATTTCCTGTAATGGGATAGTAAGGAATTTTCTTCAACAGTATTCAGTACTGACAGTAACTATGCCGGAATAGTGACATCTGTTCATACCCTAAGACTTTACAAAGATTTCCATTGGACTTAGTAGGGTGATAAACTTCTTTTGTTATTTATCAGTACACTGAAAACCTCTGGGTAGTGGAAGCTGTGGTATGACACACAGATGTTATTTTCAGCTAAGTCTATTTTCAGAAACTATACGTAGCCAAATAGAGCCAGCCACCACTTAAAAGATTATGCACCCCTCCCTGATGGCAGGCACAGCCAATAGTTGATGGTAGGTTATAAAGCCCCGGTGTTCTTTCCATAATTTAGATCACTATGCAGGACCATCACAACTGGTCCAGATCTTCTTTTGGGTAAGTTTTCCACTGCATCTGCATCACAGTTCAACTTCTCCCTCTGTTCACCATTGCTTCCTTCAACTCTCCCCATATTTTTCCTTAGATAATGTTATGATTAACCTTTACATCAACACTCTCAGCATAGCAAAGTTTGTTTTCTGGGTATCTAACTTACAACACCAAGAAAAAGAGGTTGATACCATGTAGGCTTTTGAGATAGTCATATTAGGTTTTAAACTGGCAGCTTTAATTTTGTAGGGTCGCAGAGAATTGACGGAGGAAACAGTACCAACTTTACATTCCACTGATCAGAACAGCAGAAACGATGCATTTCCATTGCATGTTTTTCAATCTGATTTCATCTCATGTGCATAAATTTCTGATTTCAGGTAATTATCAGAAAGAGCATGAATTTGCACTTAAACTTGCATTTAACTATATGGGTTTCATTTAGTCATTCAATATATAAACATTTTTAGACACCTTACATGTGAAAGATACTATGAAAGTTTCTGAGAAAGTAAACAAAGCAGACTTCAGTCCCTTTCTCAGAACTCATAAAGCTTGATTGTAAAGTCTAATTTTCAATAAGCAATTATAAGTACTAGATATCAATAAAATAACTTAATTTTAAGTAATTAAAATTTTAAGTAACCTTAATATAAAATTGTTGTAAAGATAGAAAACTTGTAAGTATATGAACATATAAATGTCAGCTGGCACATACCTGCATTCAAGAAATGTGATGATTTTTCCTGACTTTTTTTCTTAGTTTGACATGGATTCTGAAATAATAGAGATACTATGATTGAAATTTTAGCATAATGCATTTAAAGCAATTATGTATACTTAGGAGATGATGGATTTCAGAATTTGTTTCTGGCTAGCAGCTCATCATAAAAATGCATTTGTTCAACTTACTGAGGATGGCAAATATATTAGACTAAGGAAAGGTTATTATGTTTATGTTTACTACTTATGAAACCCAGCTATAAGAACTCACCTGTGACAAAGGTTGTAGGTCAGGACAAGATATGACTTTTAACATGGAAGAGGGAAGCAAGTAGGGCCTAGCACAAATTTTGTGGTCCTTCCCAAAATTTCTTTACATATTTAGTGTATTACTTGAAACAACTTAAGCACATGACAATAAGCTATCCAAATTTTATATGTATGTCATCACCATTATCACTGTATATAACATGTATCAAATGTTAATTAGTACTGGATTCTATGCATTTTATAATTCCTTTATGTATTTTCAAAGTAACCACATGTGGTGTATATATAATAATCATAGACAAGGACATTTCTATAATTAGTTCAATTTGTCTGTTAAGAGGAAAAGACCTATGGATCCTACTGAAGTTTCCTGAGTTTTTCTTTCCTACAATAGTATTAAATAAATGTTATTGTTCTTTAGTTGTCAATGAACAAACATAGCCAATCATCCTATGTCCATCCCAGGAGGTATGAACATATAACTTTCATAACCTGTTAATGATATATTTTGCAAACTTGATTGTCACATTTTAAATATACGTTAGGTTACCTGACTCAAGCCTGCTGTATTGCTTGAAATAATGTACATTAGTCACTACAGGATTAAATGGAGAACAGTATATTACAAGGGGAAGATTCATTTTCTAACTAACTTCAGTTTGTTTGATTAGCAATTTTCTCTAATCCATTATGAAGGATCAGAAGAAATTTAAGAAAATGTGACTTGGAATAGGTGAACTGTTGGCAACTAGGTTTGGAAGAAGGTGCTATCAGGAGCAAAAAGTAACCAGTAATAGATGCTTGCACCGTGATATGATTTGGCTGTGTCCCCACTCAAATCTCATCTTCAGTTTTAGCTCCCATAATTCCCACATGTTGTGGGAGGGACCTGGTGGGAAATAATTGAATCATGGGGGTGGTTTTCCCCCACTGTTCTCGTGGTAGTGAATAAGTCTCACAAGATCTGATGATTTTATCGGGGATTTCCCCTTTCGCTTTGCTTTCATTCTCTCATCTGCTGCCATGTAAGTCTTGCGTTTCACCTTCCACCATGATCGTAAGGCCTTCCCAGCCACGTGGAATTGTAAGTGCATTAAACTTCTTATTTTGTTGTTGTTTTAATAAATTACCCAGCCTCCGGTATGTCTTTATTAGCAGTGTGAAAACGAACTAACACACACAGGATGGTGCTATCATTGAAATAAAGAAAGCCATAAGCAGATTTCATGTAGCAGCAGTACTATATAGCAGTTAAAACTCTAGACTCAAGGGGGAGTACTGCCAGATCTGAATTTTATTTTTTTTTACAAATTATTTCCTTTACACATGTGATTTTGAAGAAGGGACTTACTCTCTCTTAGATTTTCTTTTGTATAAAATAAGGATCCTTCTAGTAACTACCTCATTGGGTTAAAATTGAACTTTAAATTGTAAAGCACTATTTAGATACCTGGCGTTTAACAAGAACTATTAGCTATTTCTAATACTCGTTATAAACATATTTTAGTTAGATAAGTAGATAAACTGATAAGTAGAGCTGTAGAGTTTATCTATTTGGGTTTTTGCTTGTTTGTTTGTTTTTGAGACAAGGTGTCACTTCTGTCAGGCTGGAGTACAGTAGAGAGATCAGGACTCACTGCAGCTTTTACCGCCTGGGCTTAGTTGATCCTCACACCTCAGCTTCTGGAGTAGCTGGGACTGCAGATCCCATCACCATGCTCCACTAATTTTTTTTTTTTTTCAGTAGAGATGGGGTTGCCCATGTCACCCAGACTGGTCTCCAATTCCTGGACTAAAGCAATCCACCTGCCTCAGCCTCCCGAAGTGCTGGGATTACAGGAATGAGGCACCATGTCTAGCCTATTTATCTATTTTTTGAGTATTTCTAAAATACCTGCTTTGCAAATTTTCTAAAAATATTTTATAATATTTTCTAAAAATAATGTTCATTGACTCACTTATTCTCTTTCAAAAATCAAAATCATCATAATATTAATGTTAATTACAGAAATGTAACTTTTTCTCCAACCCTCTTAATAAGTAGTGTTATGTGTGTTGTGGTTAAGTTGTTTCCAGGGCCTACCATATAGACTACAAGCATGTATAACTGGTTTGATTATAAATTTAAAGAGACAATTGGCCTTTCTTGATTATCATCTATATGCCAAGTTCTAAGCTAGACTCCACACATGGATGATACCTTCCCTAAAACAAAAGTATTGTCAGTGACTGATAATCCCAGTTAATTATACATGGCTGTGCACAGTTAGAACTATTTCATAAATGGAATAATTGATGCTTTAATAACTTATCTGCAAATAATATAATTAAAGAAATATTTCATAGGAAAGCTAATACAAAAAAACTGAAAGGTTGAAAAGTGTTGTAATATAAACTTTCTTAAAAACATATTGATGTTTTAACTTGTCAGTGTGTATGCAAATCCTGAGTTCAGACTTCAAGAGTTGATGACTTGTGATATATATCCCCAGGAGATTTTAAATACTTTTATTTTATGCATTATAGAATTGTAGTGCAACGGTAATAGTTTAAAATTCTGTGTCTTTCTTCAACTTCTGGAATTTTTAAGTGTAAAAAATGTGATTAATTCGGCAGATGTCTGCATTGGGAATGTCCATCATAACTCTTAAAGAGCTATATTTCATTTATCTGAAAAAATGTACCGCCTTAGAAGTATTCTGTAAATCTGTGGCTGGATGAATGATGGCTCACTGGGGAATACAATAGATACAACTTGTTACATTTTTAAGTAAGGAAATACCTGAAATTCCTAGTAAGTAAATATCTCGAGTTTCCTCTAAGTGGAAGAAATTTAATATATCTATTAACTACGTTAATAGAATATAATTGTTTAAATGGGGAAATATCTGAAATTATATTAAACTACTTATTGAATAATACATAAATTGTTACTGTGATATCTGCTGATATCACATAATAACTGGGGTTAGGTTTTTATACTTATGGACACAATTGAAAACACTACCTTTCACAAAACTATATATGCAGTAATAATAATGACACACTTAAAAACAATAGCCTGTTTAAAACATGTTGTCTTTCTTGTTATTAATTTTTAAAAATGCTATCTTCATCTATTAAAAGAAGTTTTCAGAAACCTGGATATAAATGAATAGGTTTTTCAAACATCCTATCTTCATCTATTAAAAGAATTTTTCAGGAACCTGGATACAAATGAATAGGTTTTTCAGCGCTATAAACTCTCAGGTGTCTGAATTAATTTTGTTATTTCTGTAAATGTTGCACAGCTGATGGAAATGTTTACAGAAAGTTTTACATTACACAAACTAAAACACACAAATCAGCAGAATAAGTGGAAAAAATATAAATAGTGCTTAATAGTATGTTCAGAATTTTTATAGATACGTACTGTTATTCGTCATACTATTCGTGCCTGCTATACTCAGATTCTGAAAAATGTCTTATCATAAACATATCTAGTAGGTGATACTATTTTTTCTCAGGCCAGTAATTCTGATTTTCAACTATTAAAATGCACCTCGTGCCTTGGTTTAAATTTTTCTGTTCAAAAAATTCTCATTTATACACTAATTAGGATAGCAATAAACTAGAATGTCTGTGATGTTTAAATTACTCCATGGCTACAGTGAAAATGCAAAAAAAGACCTGGTGCGGTGGCTCACGCCTGTAATCCCAGCACTTTGGGAGCTCAGGCAGGCAGATCCTGAGGTCAGGAGATCAAGATCATCCTGGCTAACACGGTGAAACCTCGTCTCTACTAAAAATACAAAAAATTAGCCGGGTGTGGTGGCACGCACCTATAGTCCCAGCTACTCGGGAGTCTGAGACAAGAGAATCACCTGAACCCGGAACCCGTGAGGCAGAGATTGCAGTAAGCCGAGATCATGCCACTGCACTCCAGCCTGGGTGACAGAATGAGACTCCGTCTCAAAAATAAAAATAAAAAAAAATACAAGGAAAGAGGGGTTGATTCAGTTTACCAGCAACTATCAACTGAGGTAGCACACTTTATCACAGCCTGATTATGTTCCCAGGCCTACCTCTAGACAAATTTATGAAGTTTGGAATTTGTCTTTATTAATTCAATAATTTTGTATTTACTGCTACTACCAGCACTACTACTGCTATTACTATTACTGTCTATCATAATTGGCTGCTATGATTCCCCAGGCAAGTGGGTAACTCTGCATGTGCACCTATTCATGTATCTCTTAACAAAGGCACTATTCTTTCATCTTGACCTAAAAGATTTAAAATATCAATGAGACTATCTTTATCTTAAAGATGTTTGTAAATACATGCCTGACTTAACAATAACTCATGAAACTATGGACAGTGGGAAGTGTATCTTTGTGCTAACAAAAAGGGTGAATTGTGAAGGAGATCTCAAGACAACTGTATCTTATGCTATATCATTTTTCCAGGGACAGAGGCAATCCTTTTCCTGGAGGAGCCCCCAAACAATATGAAGTAGATCACTCAGAAAGTTTTTCCTCTCCTTTTCTTTTTGACTTTAGTAAAAACGGGCAAATTTTTAAGTTATATTTTGAAATACTATTGTAAAATGAAACTACTATGATTTTGGAATATTCTCATTAGTCACAGCCTATGTGACTACCACCCATATTCATGTTCCATAAATTCATACCTTTCAAATTTATTTTCCATAAATAATCTAGACAGATCATTGTAATACTTGACAAGAACATTTTAGAGATATGGCCACCCCTTCTTGTAAATACTGTTACCATATGTGTCAGGATGCCTGATTAAAGTGATTCATTTTCCAAATTTCCTTGGCTGGGAGAGAACATACATAGGCCTCACCTTTAACCTTTCTTCCTCTGTGTACCAAACATGAGTAGATACTGAAGGGATAAAGAATAACCTCACCCTGGTCTATTTTGTAGAAACTGGAGTACCAAAGACATTGCTTTGAGCTTCCTGAGCCTTTAACTTATACTAAATAATGGAGAGTCAAAAATAGGGGGATAGATACTGAGATGGAGTCATTTTTTACCTAGAGGTTAAATGTCATGATTACTAGTGGTGTAGTTTGAAAGAAGATAAGCTCTCAAAAAGGATGCACAATTTAAGTTAAAAGGGCCAAATTATGAATAGGGATTCCTGTGGAAAATTTAACTTCTTAGGTATTTTTTTCTTGGATTGTGTGGAAATTTTGGTATATTATATTTTAAAAATACAGCTAGGAAGGATGTAGGGCAAGATGGCTGAAAACAAGCCTCCTTCAATCATCCCCTTTACAGGAATACCACATTGAACAACTCTGCACACACAAAAAATCACCTTCATTAGAACCAAAATTAGCTTGGGAAACAGGTTGGCCATAGTAGGGTAAAGCATCATGGGGATGCTGGGGTCCTCGATCCCAGGCCTTGATTCTTGGATAGCATTTCTGGACCTGCCCTTGGCCAGACAGAAGTCAACTGCCCTGAAAGGAAAGAATCGGGACTGTCGGCATTTACCATAGGCTGAATGAAGAGACTTTGGACCTCAGTAAACATTAGAGGTAGCCAGGCAGTACATGCCATGAGACTGGTGTGGTGGTGGCCACAGGGATAGACTTCTCTGCTTAAGGAGAGGAAAGATTAGGAAGGACTTAGTCTGGTGGCTTGGGTGTCAGCTCAGCCACAGTAGAAAAGAGCAGCAGGTAGATTCCTAAGTTTCCAAATTTCAGGTTATGGCTCCTGGACGGCATCTCTGAACTCACCCGGGGCCTGGAAAAACTCACTGCCTGGAAGGGAAGAACCAAATCCTGGCTAGATTTGCCACTCGCTGATTGTAGAGCCCTAAGTCCTTGAGTGAACATAGGCGGTAGCCCAGAAGTGGTCACCATGGACCTTCAGTGAGACCTAGAGTGGTCACTGGGGGCCTTTGGTGAGACCCAGTATAGTGCTTGTATAGGGTCTCACCCAGCACAGTCCATGTGGTGGTGGCTACAGGGGCACCTGTATCACCACTCCCCCAAATCCAGGCAGCTCAACAAAGAGAGAAAGAGAGAGAGAGAGTTAGAGAGAGAGAGAGAGAGAGAGAGAGAGAGAGAGAGAGAGACTCCATTTGTTTGGGAGAAATTAAGGGAAGAGAAGAGTCTCTGCCTGGTAAACCAGGGAATTTTCTGGATATTACCAAGACAACAAAGGCCTTTGGAGTAGAAAAACTTCAAATAAATAACCTAATGATGCCTCTTAAAGAATTAAAAAACCAAGAGCAAACCAAGCTCTTGGTTTAGTGTAAGAAAAATTGGTACAAGAAAATAAATTATAAAGATCAGCACAGAAATAAATGAAATTGAAAGGAAGAAAACAAAACAAACATCAATGAAAAAATAGTTGTTTTGTTTAAGAAATAAACAAAATGAACAAGCTGTTACCTGGACTAAGAAAAATAGAAGACCCACGTAAATAAAATCAGAGATGAAAAAGGTGACATTACAATCAATACAGCAGAAATTCAAAGGATCATTACAGGCTGCTATTACCTAATATGTGCCAAATAATTGGAAAACATAGAAGAAATCAATAAACTCACAGACACGTAAAACCTATCAAGATTAAATTATGAAGAAATTGAAAATCTTCACAGAAAAATAACACATAGCAAGATTAAAGTCATAATAGAAAGTCTCCCAGCAGAGAAAAGCCCAAGACTCAATGCTTTACTGCTAAATTTTATCAAATATTTAAAGAAGAACTAATGCCAATCCTACCTAAATCATTCAAAAAAAAGTAGAGAAGGAGGGAATACTTCCAAATCTATTCTGTGAGGCCAGTATTAACCTGAAAACAAAGCCAGGCTAAGAGCAATCAAGAAACAAACTAACCAAAACAAACAAACAAACAAACAAAGCCTAAAGGCCCATATTTCTGATGAGCATTGATGCAAAAATTGTCAACAAAATATTAGCAAACCAAATTCAAAATACATTTAAAAATCATTTACTGTGACCAGGTGGGATTTATCTCAGGGATGCAGGGATGGTTCAACATATGCTAATCAGTGAATATTATACATCCTATCAACAGAATGAAGGACAAAACCATATGATAATTGATGCTGAAAAAAGTATTTCAAAACATTCAACATCCTTTCATGATAAAATCCATGGATAAACTGGTATGGAAGGAACATACCTCAACACAATAAAAGAAATATATGACAGACACACAGCTAGTATCACACTGAATGGTGAAAAACTGAAAGCCTTACCTCTAAGATCAGGAACAAGAAAAGGAAGCCCACTGTCACCACTGTTATCCAACATATTATTGGAAATCCTATATAGAGCAACTAGATAAAGAAAGAAAGAAAGAGAAGGAAAGAAAGAAAGAAAGAAAGAAAGAAAGAAAGAAAGAAAGAAAGAAAGAAAGAAAGAAAGAAAAGAAAGAAAAGAAAGAAAAAAGAAAGGACATCCAAATCGGAAAAGAAAGAAGTCAAATTATCCTTGTTTGCAGATGGTATGATCTTATATTTGGTGAAACCTAAAGACTTCACCAAAAAACATTTGAACTGTTAAATAAATTCAGTGGTTTCAGAACAAAAAATCAATATATACAAATTAGTAGCATTTCTATATGCCAACAGCAAACAATCTGAAAAAAAGCAATAAAATAAATACCTGGAAGTAAACTTAATCAAATAAGTGAAAGATCTCTACAATTAATGCTATTCATTGTAGATGAATGATGCTAGATATTAGAGGAAACAAAAAAATGAAAAACTATTTCATGTTCATGGATTGGGAGAATCAATATTGTTAAATGTCCATACTACCAAAAGCAATGTATAGATTCAGTGCAATCTCTATCAAAAAACCAATGACATATGGCTTTGGGAGGCCGAGGCAGGCAAATCATGAGGTCAGGAGTTTGAGACCAGGGTGGCCCACATGGTGAAACACCATCTATACTACAAAAATTAGCTGGACGTGGTGGCGCACACCTGTAATCCCAGCTACTCAAGAACCTGAGGCAGGAGAATCACTTGAACCCGGGAAGCAGAGGTTGCAGTTAGCTGAGATCGCGTCACTGAACTCCTGCCTGGGTGACAGTGCGAGACTCCATCTCAAAAAGAAAAAAAATCATTAATTTGTTTTTATTTTATTTTGATAATTACTTTCTTTTATTTGCATTGTACTTTCTATTATACTTATATAAAATTTGTATTTTATAGGTATTGGATCATATGGATATGCCCTCTGCTTTTCTTCATTGTATTTATTCTGCTTTTCTTCTTTTTATCTGTACAGGGGAATTTATCTGCTATGGATCTAACATACATATTCAACTCCCAGTTGTATCAAATCTTGAAGTCACTGTATTATTTTATTTGATAATATTGTTTTGTGTATTTAATTGATTTCTCAGTGGACTCATTACTTGAACAATACTGTCTTCTACGTTGTCACAGATGCCCTCATTAGTCTCTTGTGGCAGTAACAGCCCAAATTACTACAGCCTGCTGTCCCTTGCCACGTTAGTCTCAGTTTGCTGCTATCACTATTATTTTCTATATTAGCATTAACATGCTTCTTACAATTGAGTGTTTTCAATATTTTCCCTGAAGAAACTCTCATGTTATTCACATTGCCTTTGGATCAGATTTATAGTTTTAGGACATCTTGCAGTTTTCTTGAAAAACGTCTATAGTTTCTTCTTAAGAGTGTCTTTTCTTCGTAAACGTCAAATGGTATATATTAGTCTTCACTTGTAACCATATTGGTTACAAATTGCTCATATTTAATGGAATCATTCAAATCTGAATGCTTAAAACTTGCTCTCACTGGATTAGCAGGATACGTTTTTAAGATGCTACTGTCCCATCGTTCACTCTAAGAGTCTTCATGTGGTATCTGCATGGGATAGGGACTTCTCAAATATCCTCATGGTAACTGCAGCCCAAATCTGGAGACCACTCTTCTTACAGCCCTTTCTAGAATCTTGGTGTTTCTGTTAATCACAGGTTGCCAACTGATAGGGTTTGGATCTGTGTCCCCACCCAAATCTCATGTCAGATTGTATTCCCTAATGTTGGAGGTGGGGCCTGATGGGAGGTGATTGGATAACGGGGGTGGATTCTAATCATTTAGCACCAGCCCCCTAGTGCTGTTCTCATGATAGAGTTCTCATGAGTTCTGGCTGTTTAAAAGTGTGTAGCACCTCCCCAGTCTCTCTCCTCCTCCTGTCCTGGACATCTAAGATGCCTTCTTTGGCTTTGCCTTCTCCCATGAGTTAAAGCTCCATGAGGCCTCCGTAGCCATATGCATTAGTCCATTTTCATGCTGCTGATAAAGACATACCCAAGACTGGACATTTTACAAAAGAAACAGCTTTATTGGACTTGGATGCCTCACAGTCATGGCAGAAGGCAAGGAGGAGCAAGTCACATCATAACGTAGATGGCAGCAGGCAAAGAGAGAGAGCTTGTGCAAAGAAATTCGTTTTTAAAACCATCAGATCTTGTGAGACCCATTCACAATAACAAGAACAGCACAGGAAAGACTCGCACCCATAATTCAATAACCTCCCAGCGGGTCCTTCCTATGACATGTAGGAATTGTGGGAGTTACAATTCAAGATGAGATTCGGGTGGGGATACAGCCAAACCATATCACCATACTCCCTGTGCAACCCGTGGAACCATCAGACAACACCAGCACTTTAGACATGTATATATGTCTTATTCAGGAATTCTGAGCCTCATCCAAATTTAGGGAAACAGTTGAAAAAAGGTTTGTCCGATTTTTCTATGACAGTTGAAATGAGCAACTTTAAAAGGAGATATTATACAAGAAAAAAAATTAAAAGACATCCAAATTAGAGAGAAGGAAGTGAAATTATCTGTGTCAAGAAAGGAGATGATCTTACATGTAGAAAACCCTAAAGATACACACACACACACACACACACACACACACACACGGAACTAATAATTAGACTCAGTAAAGTGGCAGGATACAAAATCAATGTCCAAAAATTAGTTTCCTTTCTGTATAAACAATGGACAACCCAGGAAATTTCACAAAATTCATTTACAAGAGCAACAAAAAAAGAATTTGGGAATAAATATAACCAATATAGCAAATGATTTGAACACTGAAAACTACAAAACATTGTTGCAAAAATTAAAGACATAAATGAATGGAATGGCACCCTCTGTTTATTAAATGTGTAGTGTGACAGGTCCTCCACCTAACTAGTCAACGGTGTATGTCCACTGCCTGAACCTTGTAAGAAGGGCAGTGAACAAAGGCCATGGGCTCAGCAGGGTAGCAGGTGTTCCTGAGAACTTGAACACCTCCACAAGTATCTGACAACCTATGAAGAAAATCAAAGAGCCAGCCAATTAGCTTAGAAGTAGTTTAGAGAAAAGGGCAACATGGATCTCTAAAGCTACTTTACTAACATGCAGGAGTGCCTCATATGTACTTCCTAATAAACACATCTACTCACCAAGCTGGACTTGTCCAAGTTACTCTTTGGTTTCTAGGCTTCCTGACAGTTTGGGGGAAAGATTTTTGTTCATTTGTTTGCTTCTACATTTCCAGGTTGTTCTCATTACTATTTGAATACTTTGTATTGTTAAGATGTCAAAATTACCCAAACCAATCTGTAGATTCAAAGAAATCTCTGTCAAAATCTTAATGACAATTTGACAGATGCAGGAAAACTCATGCTAAAATTTATATAGAACCTCAAGGGACCCTGAATAGATGAAATAATCTTGAAAATAAATAACTAAGTTGGAGGATTCACAATTACTGATTTCAAAATTTACTAAAAATCTACAGTAATCAAACCAGTGTGGTACTAGCATAAAGATATACATATGGAAATATAGAATAGAATAGAATACCCAGGAATAAATCTTTATTCGTATGTAAAATAATTTTTGCCAAGGATACTAAGACATCTGAAAGGAAAAGACCAGTCTTTTTAATGAACGGGGCTGGGAAAACTGGGTATTGAAATGTAAAACTAATAAAGTTGGACCCTTACCTTACACTTTATACAAAAATTAACTAAAAATGAATCAAAGATCTAAACATAAGAGCTAAAATTATAAAACTGTTAGAAGAAAGCATAAGAAAAAGCTTCATAACATTGGACTTGTCAATGATTTCTTTGATATGACACCAAAAGCACAGGTAACGAAAGTAAAATAAATTGTACTACATTAAAATGTAAAACTTTTGTGCATGAAAAGACACTATCAACAGAAGGAAAAAGCAACCTGTAGAATGGGAGAAAATATTTGTAAATCATGTATGTGAGAATGTATAAAGAATTTATCAAACTTGATGGCAACAACAAACCCCTCAAAAAACCTGATTAAATATGGGGAAATGTTTGAATTGAAATTTTTACCAAAAGGAAACATAAATAGCCAATAAGCTCATGAAACAATGTCCAACATCACAAAACATTGAGGAAAAGCAAATCAAACCATAATGAGATACCACTTTACACTCATTAGGATGGCTATAATTAAAAGACCAATAACAAGTACTAGTGAGAATGTGGAAAAATTGGAACACTTGTGCACTGTTGGTGAAAATACAAAATGGTAAAGTTGTAGTGGGTAACAGTATGACTGTTTCTCAAAAGAATTATACTTAGAATTATCATATGATCTAGCTATTCCCCTTCTGAATATATGCCCAAACATATTGAAAGCAGGGACTTAAACAGATAATTCTAAATCCAGGTAACACATTATTCACAATAACAAAAATGTGTAAAAGACAGGTAACACATTATTCACAATAAAAAAATGTGTAAAAGACCTAAATATTCAAGGATGAATTAATGGATAAACAAAATGGGTGTATACATATAATGGGATATTATTCAGCATTAAAAAAGAATGAAATTCTGATACATTCTACAACATAAATGATCCATAACAACATTATGATGATAGGTAGAATAAGCCAGACACGAAAACCAAATATGGTACAATTCCATTTATATGTGGTACTTGGAATAGCCTAATTCTAAGACAGAAGGTGTAGTGGCTACCTGAGACTAGGGTATAGGAAAATAGAAAGCTGTTTAATGTGCACAAAATTTCTATTTGGGATGATGAGAAAGTTCTGGAGATAGAGAGTGGTGATGGTTGCATAAAAGTTTGCCACTGATTTGTACACTTAAAAATGGTAAATATTATGCTATATATAGTTTACTACAATAAAATAAATAAATAAAAATATGCCTCTTTCTCTTTTCATTTGCTTCAGAAATTAGATTTTTATTATCAGAGTAAGAGATAACATGAGAAAGAGTAACCTGAATGATTGATTGCTAGTTTTTATTGTCTAAATTTGGCAGATGTTTTCTTATCTCAAATTTACTTAGATTTACCTGGGATCTTAGAAAAAAGATATAGTCATCTTTAAGAATTGAAACATGGTGTCAAACAATTCTCACTCCACCATAACAAGCTGAATATCTTTGACCAAGTTAACTTACATCACCAAGCCTCAGTTCCTCCATCCAGTCGAACTGTAAGGAAGCTAAACTGAGATGTACATTTTAAGAAATTTGCACAGTACCTGATGCACATTGAATGCATATTTAACAATCTTTAAAATGTAGGTATTTTACTAATAGCTATACATTTCAAGTATATATATTTATTAGAATACAATATTCGATTTGTATTTTTAGAGTAGGCTTTATGCAAGTATGTGTGTATAATTTTTCTTATGTGTGTGAGAGGAAGATTCTTTTTTTGCATTTCATATTTTGCACCCTAGTCAAGATTACTTCTGTGAAATGTTAAGTGGTTGTGTATTTTCAGATTGCATTATTTTGTTATATCTATAGAACTTTTCATAATATTTAATATTCTAATGTGTACACAAATATCTTGAATAAGAAAAATATCCTACACGTTACCACTTTTAAAGAGAATTTCTCCTTTTTCATGATGCATCTGATGAAAGTGATGTTCTATTGCACATCATAACAAACAAAAAAGCTATTTAAAATATAACGTGTGGACAATATGATCATTAATATGTTTGTTAACTAAAATCACTAGTACTTAAAACACTAAGAAATTTTCAAGTTATCAAAGACTAAAACCTAAAGTCAGTACTGCCTAAAATTTTAAATCACTCATCTACAGTATTTTCAGTATATATTACCCCAATTTGTTTATTTTTATTACTGGGATTTGTCATTAAATATTGATAAATTTTGTATGGCATTAATTTCCTAATAAGAGAAATAAGTTACTATAAGGAAAACCTTGTATATTCTATCTAATCTAGATGCAAAATTATAATGATTTAAACTGCCAGAATAAATTCCAATGATTTATCTTAACCTTTAGCCATACCGGAGACAGGACAATTGGGGAAAAAAATGACAACTCTCTTCTTCATTCCTCACAATAAGAAAAAAGTTAGATCATAATAAACACTATGCTGACCTGGGCTTTGTTATATTAAAAAAAAAAAAAGAATTAAGAATAAGTGTATATGGGCGAAGACAGACAGAACAATATTTTTTACAAAATCTGTGTTTTAATTTTATATTTATTTTTCTACTATCAATTTTAAATTGAGAAAAAATATTTCTAGACAAACATATTTGTAGACTCCACTTTTAGAAAAAATCTTGAGGGACTTTTAAGATTAAAGATTCAGAAACAGTTCTAACACGGAATAAAGAAATGTCTAAAGTGACTCCACCCTTCTACATCATTTGTAACATTTTTCTTTCATATAAAGGTGTCTTTGCAGTTGAAAAGCCAGCTAAGATCTACAGGGAATGCTTTCAACCACAGCAGACAATTAAAAATATAGCAGTCATTTTAAGTTTCAATTTCAAACTTCAAAACTCTGGACATATTTTAAATAATATATATTTATGTGATTTATAATTCATTTACTTCTTGGTGTAGGTTTAATGCTATATTTAAAGCTCCCAAGTCTTTGCAGAAAATGTAACCTCAGATTACTTATTGCCAAACTTTGATCAAAAGCCCCATTGAAAGAAATTTAAGGACAGTGTATGAAGGGCATCATCATTTATTCTTCTAATTTACTTATTATGCAAAGACCAAGCCGGAATTCCACAAATCTGCAAGTTAGATCACATTGTTTTGCATGTCCTTCGCTTAAGCTTCACCCAGAATAGATTGATTTTCCTGAGTTATTCTCTGAAATTAGTACATGAAGTAAAGAGTTCTATAAAACCTACTGTTCTATCAGGTAGATTATTGCAGATATTGATTAATATTTTAATTCTCTGTATAAAATCCTTTCAAGAAATTTTCTCAGTTTTAAGTGCTAGAAATTTTTTGTCAATTATAATTTATTTCATTTATTGGCTAAAATTGTATTGCATTCTCAATATGTGTTAGATATTATGTTATGTAGTGGACCCATCAGAGTAGACAAAAACAGTTCCAGTGGAGAGAGACCTAAAAATCAATAAATATATGACAACGACAGCATTGAATTCTCGGTAGGAAAGTTAACTATGGTAAAGAAAAAGATTAATGGAAGATTGAGGTTGTTTTTATTAAATACAGGTTGGTGAGAAAAGAAAAGACTTCTGACCTTTCATACATTAAAAAAAATCAAGCAAGGTATTCAAATATCAGAATGAAGAATGTTTTGTTTCTGAAAAAGCAAATGTTGAATCTTTGCTTTAGGAGTTTTTATGAGGTATTGGAAAGTGGTAGAAAGGTCATTGTGAACCGAATTTTTAAAAAGATGGGAAAAGTATTAAAGAAGTCATAGTATGTTCAATAACCAGTTAACGTATTGACATACAGTTTAGAGTAAGAAGTCCATGTTTTATTCTAGAGAGTTTTGGGTAGCCATTGGAGGTTTTCTGGGGGAAAAAAAGTATATAATAAATGTCAGTTTTAAAGAATTGAACTTCTGTGTGAAGAACGTATTATGTGTATGTGGAAGAATATAGTCATCTATCTCTTAACCACTGGTGTATGTTCTGAGAAATGAATCATTAGGTGATTTCTATATTGAGCAAACATCATAGAGTAATTACACAAACCATGATAGCATAGCCCCTCACACATCTAGACCATATGGTATAGTCTATCACTCCTAGGCTATAAAACTGTACAGCATATTACTGCACTGAGTACTATAGGCAATTTTAAGACAATGATGAGTATTTGTGCATCTAAATATAGGAAGTTTACAGTAAAAATATGATTTTACAACCTTATGGGACCACTCTCCTATATGTTGTCTGTCCTTGACCAAAACATCATTTTGCAGTACATGACTGTACTTAAAATTGAAAGGAGAAGACTACCTGGAAGGCAACTTCAGTAGTCCACATGCAGATGTTGGTGGCTGGTGCTCTTGTGAAACGAGAGAATGAGGACAAATTTGTTTAGAGTTGAGGCATACTTTGAAGATTTCATTCGTGGGAACTGGACATGATTTCATTTTGTTCAGTGTTAGACATATAAGATACTATTATTTATGCTTTGCTTTAAAAACTCAGAGAATAAATATTGTTGCTCAAGTTTACGTTGTGCTGAATTCAGAACTAAATTTCCTTGTTTTCTCAATCTTTAGTAGATTTTGTGTTGATATTTCTATTTCAGATTTTTAGAGATTACTGCCTTTACATTTTACTATACTTATTATGGTAAACTACATTAAAAGCTTGATAAAATTCAGTGAGACCTAAATGAATTTTGAAAAATGCAGTCATTTTTAACTTTGGTGTTTGAAAGAACTATGATTAAATTTTGGGGCAAATTATGTACTCAGCAGACCTATCTACCAATTACAATGCTGAAGAAAATATACTTAAATAAATACCAACTGTTTGAGGTAGATTATATATCATTGAGTTATTATGTTTGTTTTGAATTTTTACTATATTTTGTACAAGGTTTTATGAATAACTAAGACAGAAATATTCAATTCCCAACTAAAATAAATGGCAACTCCTTTTACAATTGAATTAACTTTTCTGATACGCCAAATGCTTTGTTCATTCACTGACAAAATAAAATTATCTGAAATTCTAGCATTACTGTTAAAATGTCAATGGCAAATGACAAAATTTTTATAAAAATGTGTTTATAAAGTATAATTCATTAACGAATTTTAGAATAAAATTATACTAATTTATCATTTCCATGAGTGGCCATTGTTGCTGATTGCACTTTGCCAATTTTACCTTTCTTATTTTTGTACCACTACTGTATATAAGATTATCACATCATTTGTATACCATTAAAATGGAGAAGGTATGTGCAAATAAGTATATAACCATAACTATGACTTCATATTTGTGTCAACAGACATCCAGCAATAGATAATTTATTTTGCTTGAAGAAACAAGCTCTGGGAAACTTAATTTAATCATACATTTCCTTATAAACATCTAAAATATAAAAGGCTATTATTCACTAAATCTGCTGTTCTCAATCTTGATGTCAAAGACATACAAAGTAACAGTGAAACATTTCAAGCACATTTTTCTCCACTGGTTTCATCTGACAGCAGATAAAAATATACTTATCTCTCCATATAAATGTTGCAATACAATCATCAATACACTGTCAAGATATCATTAAATACATATTGCTATCTCATCTGTCTGCAAAAGAGTTTGACATTACTAATGTTAATAGAAACTTCATGCTATATTGTCAAATGAAACAACAATCAGTGAATGTTACTCTAAGCTTTTTAAGATGATTGTGATATCTTAATATTTATTCTTTGCCAATACAGATTGCTAAAAATTGCTGATAAACATACAAAATAATGAAACACTAAGAATACATTACTGATAGACTTTAATGTGTATCACTTTTCCATCAGCTACAGTAACAACTTATAATAATGGAAAGTTTCTGATGTTTTTGTTAAGATGTTTTTCATCTACCCTTTTATCCATGTCTTATTCTACATCTTTACTAGATTAGAAAGATCTCTCAAAATGCTCTTTTAAATACATTTTTATAGAATTACTGCTATTATTGATATTTTTCTTTAAGATTAACTTTAGAGCCATTTATAATGACCAATAGTCTTTCAGCAGCTGTATACAATGTGTAAACTATTAATTATTTCCCAATTTGCCTCTCATTCCAAAACACAGTCTTGCTGAGGTCTTCATCTATTCTTGCTTGATCAGTCTCTGCTTTCCAGGCTCTACTCTTTTCTTCAAACACCACAACTTCCACACTGAGTGGGACTTAGCAGTATAAATCCAGGTAGTTCCTATCTCTCAACTGTCTTATTTATATTTCTGTCATTAACTCAGTATTATCTAAGTAAAAATGTTCAAACCATTGGGATCACTAAATTCAATGTCCATAGAAATTGATTATAAATCAACTATTTGGCCTTTTATTTCCACCACTTTTTCATAAATTCTTTTATCTATTCACACTGCAATATTTTTATGGATACAAACTATATCCACACAACTTAATACTTTTATTCAAATTATTTCTTATAACTGATATGCATTATATTTTTCATGGGAGACATCTTACCATTTGTTGGATTTAGTTAAATTGACACTCTAAAGTTTGTTTGCGACCTTCAAAAATCTGTGGTTAAATTAATATTTGTTTTCTTTGTTCCCTAAGGATATATTTTTCCAATCCAACTAACTTGTGCTAAAGTCAATTTTTAATAACTTATTTTCTTTCTATATTGAACTGCTTAGATTAAAACCATTAATTGGAAGAGCTAACTTAAGTATTTCCCTAAAATTTAGGACGATGGGAAAAAAAGACAACTATATGAGCAAAATATTAAGTGACAATAATAAATTACCGAGCAAGTATAATATCTGTGAATAGGCATTCTTACAGGAGAGAAGAAAAATAACAAAGGTTATTGATTATTAAATGAAAGAAGTTAATGATCCTGGATTATTGCACATTTTACTTAAATTCTTTCAATTCTGTATTTGGTATTTTACCAAAACTATTAATTGTCATACTATCCTCATCAATCTGTGCACATAGTCTATGCAAAGCCTGAAGATATTCCCAAATATCCACCACTTTTCTTCTTCAGACTTAGCAATTAAGTGTTGCAATTTAGCTGATTACATTTTTGTACAGAGTAAAGACTGTATATCCCAGAGTTCTTTGTCATAGGATTATCTCCCAAATAATGGAACCAACAGACTTTGGCAGATCTTTAAGAAATAACAGTGGTTTCACATCCTCTTTTCCTTCATTCTGATACCTAGAATGTGAACATTGTGGTGAACCATTTTGGAGCACGGCAGAAATTCAAAGTGAAGATATTGCAGTGATTTATAATTTTCGATTATATTATTTTCCATTTTATTCCTATCTACCTATCTTACCTATTTATGCATATAATGACATTCAATGTAAAATATGTATAACCCAATTTAATGCAACTGATAAAGATAAAAAGTAAAAGGTCCATTTATAGGTGCTACAATTAAAAAGATGTTTTCAGATAGTGAGATATTATATATACAGTTACAAATTAAAATATAACATCCAAATAATTATTTTCTTTTGTAAATTTATTTCAGAATTAGCGTATTATATATAGGTTTGAGAAAAAATAACTTTCTCATAACATACAGAAAATTGAATAGTATACTAATAAATATGCATCTGATTTTAAAGTTTTAATTTTGGATCTCTAGTTTTATGATGAGCTGTTAATCCCAATACAATCAAACCAACCTCCTTATTTCAGATAGAGACAATGAAGCAAGTGACATGGCATCAGGGTGACCAGCATGGCTGCTCAACTCGGCACTCTCACCACCCCAAAGTGACCTCAAATGCCCTTTCTCTCTTCCCATAATATCTGTGTATTTATATATTTCTGTATCAACCTTCAGCCTTTATCACCTAGACATGTAATACTGTTTGGCACTCCACAGCATTTCACAAGATCCCTTGAGAAATTATATACGTTTCTAAAAGAGAATAGAATGCAAGTTATGTGGGTCACAACCATTTGTTCCAAGACTCTGTAATAGAGTAAGCTCAGCTATACTTGCTTTATGTAGACATGAGCAATGTCTCTGAAGAAATAAACCCACAGTGGTTTTCAGTGAATTAGAAAGTGCAGCAGAGCCGGATTTCAAAGCTGTCTTCCAAATTTCACAGATGAAGCCAAGCCATAATGATGACAATTTGTTTTATTAGTAACCAACCCTCCTAAATGTGATCTAAAAGGGGTCAACTTCATATTGTTCATTTTATAGTGAACTAGTATTAGAATCAGCTTCCTGGGGTACATATTTTCAACCCAGCATACTTAAAATGCACTTGATTTTAATCTAGTGTTTTCTCTAATATTTTTTAATTTTTTTTAGTATTCAGTTTGAAAAACTATATACATAACTCTTAAAAGATAAAGAGATGTAAATGTATTTTTTTTTTTTTTGAGACGGAGTCTCGCTCTGTTGCCCCGACTGGAGTGCAGTGGCATGATCTTGGCTCACTGTGTAAACGTAATTCCAAATGGCATAAGCAAATAATTTTATAATTTTATACCTATCGCATTAGAATATCTACACATCTGTATGTAATTAGATGCTTTAACATGATGCATCTATATGTAATGCACACTCTAATTTGTGCTAGCCAAAACCATTATAACATGCTTAACACATTTCGTTCATGAACTTATATATTTCAACAAAAATAATAATTTAAATTAAGTGATTTATTTTATTATAATAGGTACTACCAGGGAAGGTATAGAGAGGGTCATAAAAGATTGTGAAATTATGCATGGAAAAGAAACATGAGCATTAATGATCTGACTTGGAACGTTCCCAAAACAAATAAATGACCAATTTTTGATGTGATGGGTATCCTTGTTACCCTGATTCAATTATTATACATTGTATACTTGTATAAAAATAGTACATGTAATGTGTAAATATGTACAACTATCGTATATCCATAAAAATTAAAAATTAAAAAATTATAAATAGTGTGCTATTTAGGGTTTAGAAGGATTATTCTCTCTGCTGTTTCAAAAGTAAATGTGTGACAGAAAGCCCAGTTAGGTGCTTGTTAAATAGTAATTTAATCAAGAATTGTTGTCCTGCACTAAGTTATTGGCATTGGGTATGTAGATAGTGTTCATCTATATTTATAAAATAGTTAAAAGATTACTGGAATGTCAAGTCAATCTCAGTCTTGAAAAGTATCCTTATCTTCCAAAATATTGGTATTGGGATAACCCACTCTAACAATGATAAACTTCATATGTGACTTTCTGTTTAAGTATAATAAGACACTTTGGAGTTTCATATTCTGTCACTTCTTGTAATTCTATATTTCAACCTAGAAATATAAAATTTAATACTGGGCCATAAAAATTCAAAGTTTGTATGTGTATGTATATACATATATAAATATGTATATATATTTCTACAAATATGTATATATATTTCTACATATATATTTATATATAAAATGTATGTAAATATATATATTTACAGTTATTTCTTTTGTATTGACATTTTAAACCCAGGTTATAATTTTTTTTCACATATTTTTTTACCAAAAACTTGACAGAAATAGAGACTAGCACAGTGCCTGGCTAATCACCATGGTGCCCAACTAGCCACCTTTTGCCTGCTACAGTGAACTTTCAACAGAGCACCCAGAGAGAGCCATTATTCTCAGCAAACTAACACAGGAACAGAAAATCAAACACCACATATTCTCACTTATAAGTGGGAGTTGAACAATGAGAACACATGGACACAGGGAGGAGAACATCACACACTGGGGCCTGTCAGGGGGTGGGAGCCAAGGTGAGGGAGAGCATTAAGACAAATACTTAATGCATGCGGGGTTTAAAACCTAGATGACTGGTTGATGAGTACAGAAAACCACCATGGCATGTGTATACCTATGTAACAAAACTGCACGTTCTGCACATGCATCCCAGAACTTAAAGTAAAAATTAAAAAAAAAAAAGAGTTACAAAACTCTCATATACCACTTTGCTTTCATACAGTAAAAAATTAATTAATTAATTAATTAAAGTCAGAACATATTGCCTGATCGAAATCAACAAATGATTTCCTATTTCACTGAGAATTAAAAACTAGTCTTTACTTTGACATGCAAGGCCCTGCTTGTACTTTGCAGATCTAGACTTCTGCTACTCTCCTCTTCTCTCTTCACGTATGTTGTAACCACACAGCCCTCCAAACTGTTCCTCCAATACATCAGACATGCTTTAACTTTACAGCCTTAGTCTTGCTGTTTTCTGACTCAAACTCTCTTCCTCCCCAATGTGGCTGATTGTTTCCCTCATTGCCTTCAAGTCTTTTCCCAATTAACACTGTCTTAGGGAGGACTTTCTTAAACACCAACCTTTGAAGAGCAACCCTCCTCATCCCACGTTGATAACACTTTATCATTCTCTTCCTGCTTTCTTATCTATTTTCTACATATACTTACCCAAGCTCATGTTATACACACAGAGTTTATTTATTGTTTTCCCTCTTCTGCAGCCTCTGAAGGAATGAGATAAGCATTATTATTTTGGCCATAGTTTTTTACCTGTAGAGTAGGACAGTGCCTGTCATTATAAGTGGGAAATGTAGGGAGAGACAAAAACTTGCTGCTAGCGAGTTGAAGGTAGCCCCAATTGATGGACTATTACTTTTTTTTTTTTTTTTTGTCTTTTCCTTTTTCTGTGAAGTAGTAGACAAGGACAACTACAGACGGTGAAGGTTGTGAAAAGTTGAGAGAGAAGGAAAATCTATTTTTGCTTAAGTTTTAAATCAGAAGTAACCCTTTATGTTAAAATTCAAATGCATTGTAAGAGTTCTCATTGAGCAGAAGAACAAAGCAGCAGGGCAGAAAACACAAGTAAATTAATTATTGCTTTTGTACACACAATGGGCAAATCAAAGAAAGAGGCCACATCCATTCTCAGAATTTTCGAAAGTACATGCTGCCAGCTCTTTGCCAGCATATCTCAGTGTAATAATTCTTAAGAAAAAAAAAAAAAAAGAACGTTATACTTAAGAAACATAACTGGTCATCAACCATGTGAAGATTTAGATTGTAAATTCAGAAATGAAATATTAAACATTCTAAAAACAGAATGATGTTGGGCAAGAACCAGGGCATCTCTACACTGAGTGAGATCCAGGTTGGACCAGAACAAAAATTGTGCTCGCTGAGGTCTAAATAATAGCTATACATCCTATGAAAAAATTTTTGGCTTGGCCCACAATGTCTTAGGGAATTGCGGTAGGCAGAATTCTGATATAGCACCATTTCCCCAAGATTCCCCACCTAATTCTGGAATTAAAGTATGTTGGATATTGGAGTTATGATTATACATTACCTTAAATGACAAAAGGAATCTTTTCTATGTGAGGATTTTTTCAAAGGTAATTAAGGTTGCTAGTCCGTTAACTCTCTACTTTAATTAATAGTGTGATTAACTGAGTGGACATAATCAAATCACGGAAGCCCTCTAAAAGGAATGTTAAACTTTCTGGCTTTCTTTGGCTGGTAGCAAAAGAGAAAGTCAAAGAGACTCCAGGTGTGAGAAGTATTTTACCTGCTGTTGCTTGTTTGTACATGGAGAGGGCCGTGTGATGAAAGATACAAGTGTCCTCCAGCAGCCAAGTGCAATCCCCAGCTGACAGTCAGCAAAGAAACAGGGACTTCAGTACTGTAAACATAAAACAATGAATTTTATCAACTTAACTGTGCCTTGCAGAAGACTCTTCCTCACATCCTCTCTACATTAGTCTAGTCTTATCAGCATCTTCATTTCAGCCTTAGAAAAACTTAAGCAAATAACTTTGATGAACCAGTTAATTCTGGCCTACAGAACTATTAGCTAATAAATGAGTGGTGTTTAATTCACTAAGTAATTTGTTATACAGCCAGAGAAAATTAATCCAAGAATTTTGCTCAATTTTAAAATAGGAGTTATGGCTTTACTTGAAGAATAGAAAAATTTTGGAAAATCCAGACTTTTTCTGGATGGTACAAAAGGCTGTTCGCTTTAGATGAAACACAATCACTGCTATTGCAACTGTTTCATTCTGGACACGCTATTCCTTTAGGTTCAACATATGAATATTTGAGTTTTGATCCCTGCTCTAAACCATACTGACCAGAGATTCTCACAGGGATTCTTTACAGATGGTAAAATATATTTTTCTGTAGTACTATGCTGTATATCTTATTAGTAGATGCATACATATAGGCTTACTAATAAACATTTTAATGTATATGGTCTAGAAAATTCTGTTTCCAGAGTGTGATCCAAAATTTTAGCCTTTAGTCTTCACAATGTATCAAATTCTCTTGTAGTTCATATTTGAAACATAAACTAGTTGACTAACTCCCTTTCAATATAAAAGACAGATTCTGTCTTAGGATCTGCAAAGCTAGCTAAAAAGCACCTCTTACACAGCATTTATAATATTTAACTTTAAAATAAGAGTTTACACTATTAAGTTTGGATGACAGCATTACTTATATGATGAAAGGCTTAAACTTTATAACAATCCCATTTGAATATTTAAAAATCAGTGATACAGATCAATATTTTATAATGGTGTATATATTTACAGGAAAGTATAAAAGATTAACTCCCAATCAATGTATCCAACTCCACAAGTTGACAAGGAAAGTTAAAGTTCATGTGCAAGAAAACAACACTGTCTGCAGATCTTAAATTAAATGGTGTACCATGGTTCATAGTAATGAGATTCTGGTAAGTAGAGAAATAGTTGTCAAAGTTGTTCAGGTTGCATGATAACAAGGGTTCCAGTAACACTAAAAGTGTTTTGGGGGGATTGTTTAACCTACATAAAATTTTCAATGCTGAGCTCTTCATTTGGTAAGGAGAAAAAAAAAATTATGAATTTTAAGCAGGCTTGACCATACCATCTTCAGGGCAAAATGCTTGTCAATGTGTGATCTGAAAATAGTACAATCAAGCACATTGAAAATTCAGCAGTTTTTCTCATAGGAATGGATGTCTTCCTGACAAGTGAACACTGGGTTTTATTTTGGCCTGGGGATTTGTTTTGATAGAAAAATTTATTTACTCGAGATAAATCTTATAAACTATGAAAACGAATCAAAACTTCAAAGTTATTTTCTATGCAAAATGCATAAATGAGCTGACTTTTTTATGATTGTTATCTTTGAACAAAGATATGATTACTCATCGATCAAATTAGGTTAAAACTCCTATGAGTCTAATTTTTTGGTTATACATAGTTTATGACAATACAGGATACATTTTCTAATTTGAGTGCCATATGATTTATTGATAAGGAATTGTTTTCTTTTCCCTTTTAATATCTTGTTACATACATGTTAACTATTCAGAGAGCAAAGTATTGATTACTTTATAAAATCAAAAAATGAATATATTTAGTTTTTAGGTATTATCTGATGACAAACACATGCATTGACAGAGTTTCAACGCAGGAATAGAGGTAAATTATTGTAAAATAGTGTAAAATACTATTTGTATGTTGACACAATAGTGCCAAAATATCATGTCTTTGTTGCATTATATTCGAGTGTTAAGAAGTATCAACATGTGAAATTTGAATTAAATATTTTAGAAGCTAAAAATAAGCACAAGTAATAACTGAAAAGAATGAGGTGGGAGTGAGGAGAAACAAAAATGTTTCTTTTAAAGAAATATTTTCCAGAATGAACAAGTGATTAATGTAGGTGGCATATTTTTTATTTGTTTTGTAGTTCTGGATCTGGCCTGATGGGAATAACAATTTTACCCTTCCTGGTTACATCATGTTATTTCTCGGCTCAAATACTCCAAGAATGAATCTCATTCAGATTAAAAACCAAAGCCCTACGATGTTCACAAGCTCTGATTTCTTTTGCATCTTTGAGTTAATCCACTGCCTTTCTCTATTTGCTCTCTCCAATCCAGCCATCCTGGCCTCCCAGCAGCCCCTCCAAACCCAGTGCTTTCCTTGAACTATTGCTCCTGGTTAGATAGCTCGTCTCTAGAGAACTGCATGGATTAACTCATTTCCTTCAAGGGTGAGCTAAAATGTCATCTTTTGAAAATATTTCTTTTGCACACTTTTAAAAGAACCGAACGTACCTGCCCTCACCTCCCATTTCACACCAGAACTCACTCTTCCTCTTACCTACTTTCTTCACTTCTGTAGCATGCATTCATATCTAAAATATTTTACACATATAACTTATGTGCATGTTAATTTTGTTAGTTTCTTAAAGAGATTGCAGAATGTCAGCTCCAGAAATGCTTACTAAAGAGAAGTCAGGAACAAAATATTTGTTCAGTAAATCACATATATACGTTGGTGCAAAAGCAGTTCTGGTTTCTGCCATTACTTTCAATGGAAAAGACTGCAATTACTTTTGCACCAACCTGATACATGTTTTATAAGGAGTTATATATGTATCACACCTCCATTTCTGTTGTGTATGTGATATGTATATATCACTCTTTATAAAATGATATATATACATATCACTCCTTATAAAATGCTTATCACTTTAAGACATATAGAAATTTCACTATTAAAAATAAATTTAAAGCAAAACGTAATGAAGATGGTGGTACTGAAAACTAAGGGTGTAAATTAGACTCTATACCAAGATATGTTAAACTCAGATATACACGTAAATTTTCTTTTATGCCTGGATTATCTGGAAAAAGCTGACAGGCTTAGCCTGTCAAAATTAAACCTGCAATTGCTATGGACTCACTGTTTATGTCCCTCCAAAATTTATATATGCATTCACGAATCCCCACTGCAGTGGAATTTGGAGATAGACCCATGGAAGTTATTCAGGTCACAAAAGTAGAAACTTCATGGTGGGATTAGTGCCCTTATATGAAGAGGTATTAGAGGACTTGCTTCCTCTCTGTCTCTCTGCTATGTGAGGACACAGCAAGAAGGCAGACCAGGAGAGGGTCCGCGCTAGGAATTGAATTGGCCAGCACCTCGATCTTGGGCTTCTCAGTCTCCAGAACTGTGAAGAAATATTTCAGTTGTTTAAATCACCCAGTCTATGGTAGTTTTCTTATAGCAGCCTGAAATGACTAAGATAACGTTCTTACTCCTAGCTGACCAAGAATATACTTCAGACCCGAAGGATGAAATAAGCAGTAATTTATAGTTCTTGGTAGGTGTCTTTCAATTGGTGCAGCATGTCTTAGATGGCTATTCACAAATTCTTCTTCCCTGGGTCTCCCTGCCTTTTACTGTTTCTAATCATCTTCATACAGTGTCTCAGTTTGATTACTCTACTGTTCCCTGTTTTCCAGTGTATGCTGCTTCCGTGCTTTACCTCGTTCATGTATTAGCATTCTGTTTTGCATTCTCACATTATTCAATCTGGGCAAGTCACAAGACAAGCAATCTATTCACTTGATAATGCTAATTGCTTCCCAGCTAAATTATTCCTCCTCTGCCATCATTTTGAACTAGATTTTTAAAAACTTTTACCTAGTTGAAGTATCATTGACAATGATAAGAATACTTGACTTTTTGAAACCTGTCCATGAAACACTTCCCATGGCAACCAAGCCTCATAATTTCTCCCTTGTCAGAATGGACCTAAGAATTGGGTTCCAAACTCTGAAATTTTACCCTTGATCTGCTGATTCTGTAGACTTTTCTGACTTGTGTTAGTGTATGCCTATTATAACGAAAGAGGTGCTCAGCTACTATTAATTGTGCTAGCTAGATTTTGACTCTTGGTTATTATAGAACAAAATGTTACATACTTTATTAAAAAACAAGTTTCCTCTAACCAGCTGTCCCCATTAGGCAGTGTTATGTTCTCTGAATAGATCTCGTGAAAGAGCTTTGCTATTTCTCTGTATCCACACTCTATGCCCAAATCTGCATTGGTTTCTAGAGGCTGTTACAACAAATTCCCAAAAACTGAGTGGCTTAAAAACAGCAGAAAGATTTTGTCTCACAGTTATGGAGGCAAAAATCTGAAATCAATATCAATGGGCTGAAATTAAGGTGTTGGCTGGGGTGTACTTTCTCTGGAGTCTCCGGGTGAGAATCTGTTCTTGCCTTTTTAAACTCCTCCTGTCATTACTTGGTCTGTGGCTGCCGCAGTCCAATTCCTGACTCTATCTTCACAAACACCTCCTCTTCTGTTGTGTATATTTATATTTATAGTGTAGAACGCTACATTCTCCTACATAACACTTAATGGAATAGGCATAATTTCTTTCTATAGAGTAAGATTTTTCTCTGCTTACAGAGCACATTTGCATAAGTTGTTTCTGTACTTCTTCTTTTATCAGTATATCCAAAATAACCTCTGGGGTTGGAACACTTGGATTTTTATTTTTTATTATTATGAATACATAATAGTTGGACATATTTACAGGGTAGATGTGATATTTTGATACAGGCTACAGTGTATAATGTTTAAATCAGGGTAACTGGGATATCCCTCTCCTCAAGAATTTATCATTTCTTTGTGTTGGGAATATTCCAATTCTATTATTTTAGTTATTTTTAAGTACACAATAAATTGTTGTTAACAAAAGTCACCCTATTGTGCAATCGATCACTAGATTTTATGCATTCTAATGGTAAATTTTATCCCCATTAACCAGTCTCTCTTTATTTTCTCCTCCCTACTTCTGTTCCCATCCTCTGGTAATTATCACTCTACTCTATCTCAAAGAGTTTAATTTTTTTCCAGCTCCTGTATATGATGGTAACATAGAATGCTTGTTTTTCTTCATTGGATAGCCAGTTTAGGGTTTCTGTAATTGCAAGTTGCTTGAATTCAACCACAACTGTTAACACTAGGCTGTTGTCTGTCCTACTCATTTTGAAGTCAGTGTTCTATTACCTGCAACCGGTATTTTCCCTTCTTTTACTAAATACGGTGTCATGAGAGCTAGGCTTCTAGGATATAACATTTTTATTTCTTTTGTTTAACCAAGATCTATATTTTGTACACAAATTATGGCCTAATAACACAGTAACTGTGCTGTCTTATAGCCTGTCTCTCATGGTTTATAGAATTATTAGTTTTCATCCATCAAAGTGTTTTCCATATATTTATAAATTTTTGTTTATACTAGTTTACTTCAATTCCAAATCTGTGACCTTCAGATTTTAAAGAAATAATAGAATTATAGAGTTAGATTGGCAAGTGCCATGACTCTTTCTACAGTAAGCTTCCTTTTGTATTACTTCATGAGGATTTGGTAAACATGAAGCCTTTCAAAGATATTGATAACATTCCATTTCTTCAGCTAGATGGTGAGTATATTATTATTTATTTTATTTGTATTATTTCCCTGTCCATATGCAGTGTGTATCTTATTATGTATGTATTATGCCATTCACAATGTAAGTAAAATAAAATTAATGCATATTTTCCAAAGGTACATTAACTAGCCTTATTGCCATGAGGAAATGCCCAACAATCTGGATCCGCCCAACACCATCACTGTTATTAGACATTCCTGAGGATGCAGTGCGCTGTGGGGATTCTCAACACTGTCAGCCCTGACAGCTGAGACACTTTTTAACAGTAGTTCCTGTCAGATTTTTCTCCATGGCTTTTTCATCTTTTCCTATGCTGATTCTTTGTTTAAATTTTTTTTATGCCTCTTCTCTCATTTCTTTAAAGAAAAATAAAAGACAAAAAACAAAACTCATCACCACAAGATAGAGGAAAAGTATAATCAGTCATTATTTAAAAAGGGTAAAAAGTGTTCATGTACACCTGAAGTAGAAAAGGAAAAGCTTCTGTGGGTTTTTTATCCATATAATAATGTCTCAATAATCCAGATTGCTATTTATTTTAGTGTTCTGATAATTATGGGTAGAAAAATTACTGCTAAACTCTAAATGCTCATGTTGGCTATGTTTATTTTTTAAATGTGTTAATCTTCCTAAAAAAGGATTAAAGGCTTCAGAAATTATATAAAAATTATGAACTGTTGAATTTTGTTTAAAATCTATGAGAGTTTTAAAAATATATATCTCTCGTGGTGTGTGTATAATCTGTTTAGAATTTTAGTCGTGATAACATTTTGAGATTAAAAGACACAGAGAGTGAACGCTGTTCAAGGAATAATGCTACTATTTGCAAAGAGAAAAGAACTCTTTTTAGAAGAATACATCAATGGCATAAATGAGAAAAATTTGTCAAAAAGATTTCCTTACAAGGAAAAGGAAGAACATAGAAAAGTCATAGTACGTCATATAATTTGAAAATAAGGCCGGGCGCGATGCCTCCCGCCCACTTTGGGAAACCGAGGCAGGCAGATCACTTGAGGTAAGGAATTCCAGACCACCTTGTCCAACTTGGTGAAACCCCGTCTCTACTAAAAAGTACAAAAATAGCCGAGCGTGGTGGCAGGCATCTGTAATCCCAGCTACGCGGGAGACTGAGGCAGGAGAATCCCTTGAACCCGGGAGGTGGAGGTTGCAATGAGCTGAGATTGTGCTATTGCACTCCAGGTTGGGAGACAGAATGAGAGTCTGTCACAAAAAAAAAAAAAAAAGAAAAAGAAAAAAAAGAAAAAGAATTTGATATTAAGTCTAATAAATCTTAATTCTTGCTTTGCTTTTGGCTTCTTGTTATATCTTCCACTCTTATTTGTAGATGTTTATTTGCCTTCTTGATGCTCTAAAATAATTGTTTTGAAAGAAAAAGCATCTTTTTAGAGTAATTTATATGTATATTTTTTTCAGATATATAAGATTGAGATTTAGATTGGGTAAGAAAAAAATCTCATGAGATTCTTGTCTGTGAGATCAATTACATAATTTAGGGATTATGGGGTCAGAATCAGCCTTCCTGAGTTAGATCCTAGCTCTTACATTCTACTTATTTGGGGTATGGATTTGGAAAATATGAAAATTTTCAGTACATCAGTTTCTTCATAATTAAAAAGTGACAGTAAAAGTAATATCCTCTAATTGAACAGTTGTCAAGAATCAGTGAACTAATATACTTTCTTTATTACTTTTATAGAGATTACTCATGAATAAATAATAGTTATTTGACTAACGATTATAGTTAACACAGAATTGAATAGAAATTCACTAAAATGTCATCTTTAATTTTTATTACTTCAAAACAATATAATAAGTAATTTTTATTAGTATACCAAATTCCTTCTGAACAGGGGTGACATTGCCCACATGAGACCAAAAAAATGCTTTTCGAAGTGTGAAAAATATTGCTCTTTTTGTATATAAAGTACAGATACATAAACAGTACATAAAGAAATATACATTACATCTGTGGTGTTAAAATTTTATGAGAGTACATGAAGAAAACACTTTCTTAAAAGGCACCTTGGGGAAAGGGTTATAATGGCAAAAAGTTTAGAACGCTGGTTTAACACAAGGTAAAGTAAAGAAATAATAATTTTTTGAAAATGTACTCATAAAAGGAAAAATATTTAATTTTTAATTTTTTTAGCACAAACAGTACACTAGTTGAATAAACAACTGTTGTTAGTTAACAGTTCTCTATGACTCTCTCACATTTCTGCACACCTTATGAGCAGAGGCTAACTTTTTTTTCTGGAATATCTTCTCAAGGATGTCTATGTGTCAACAGTCTTAAAATATGGAGTGTCTCCCTTTGAAGCAATTGACCAACATACTTGCTGTGCAGAATAGTATCTTCAGGTTCTCTAGCAGCCTACTTGATGCATAGATGTCACCTGACAATTTTAGCTTACTCAGTGGATATTGGGGATTAGGACCCTAGTGCCATTTAATAAATTGCTGATTCTCTGGCTACTGCTATTGCTGTGAGTAATAATACTGTCTTTCCTCTGGCCCAGGAATCTCATGTCTTCCACTAGCATCCAAGCATCAGGGGTGGACTAACTTGGTAGCTTGAATATGGAGGAAAATTTCAAACTGTTTAATTCTTAACAGATATAAGACTTTAATTCAAGCATTTTTATTTCTAGTTGTTTACACTGTAAAAAATTAAGTACACTTTCTTTCTTACATGAACGTTAGATTTGAGCATGATGATGTTTTTCACTATCTTGAGTGTTACAATAATTGATAATTTTGGTTGCTGCTTTATTGCATCACAGATCAATTTTTTCAATATTTAATTCATTCATATTCAAAAACAGCATTTGAACTAATATATAGATTCTATAAGGTTTATTTGTATCTTTATTATTACTAAAACTATTGTAAGCAATTGTTTCAGTGTTTGCTGTTGTACAAGACATTATCCAGATATAGTTTCATAACTTTTGAATTTTTTCAATAAAAGTATTGATTGTTTTCCCAACTCATTATCTTTTATGACACAAATGATTATTTCAGTAAACTGAAATAAAGATTTGAGTAGTCTAATAATAATTGCTCTTATATGTTTTTTAAGTTGTTCAACATTAATGGAGATTGTTTCCCATCCCCTCCACCCTAGGGAGAATTATGCTCCAAGTTTACTGTCCCATCGACTTTCTCTAGCTGCCTAATTGGTAATCACCAAACTTAGATTTCTTATGTCAAGAAAAATAAATTTATTGCCATAGACTTTTCTGCTGCAATGATCCCACTTGTCTACACTTATGTCAAATTCTGTAATAGTTATTCCCATGACAGGGTTCATAGGGGATTTCCTATTAAGTTAAATTCAGAAGTCAAGTTTCCCCTAAGGATTACTGAATGCCAAGTTGACAAAGTAATAGAGAGTTTTTGTTTCTTTTTCTTTTTTTAGTTTTTTTTTTAGTCTTCTTTTAACTCTGTTTGCCTTTAAACTAATGATAGTTGTTAAATATTAGGATGTTTTATAAAAAATGTTCAGTAGAAGTAATAATGAGTGAATATCATATTATCAGGAGTTCCTTTTTTTCTGTTTTGTTATTCTGATATAAAACACCACATATAAATTTTTTTTTCAAATAAGTATGTAGTTACCAACTGTAAATTAGGCATTGCACCTAAAAGTGTCTGTATACAAAATGTTCTGAGGGCATCAAGTTCAATGAGAGAACTGCATTCAATTTGCTCCAACATAGGTTTCTCCTTCTCTTGGAAAAATGTAATTGCATTTTCCTGCTTCAATTTCTTGCTGTAATCTAGCCTTGTGTTTCTCTTTGCCTCCTTTACCATGTCTTCAAAACTAAATGAGATTTTTATGCTCCTTCCACGCCCTAGTCTCTTCCATTTCTGTCTCAAAACTTCCGCTTGGAAGTCTTTGAGTGAGGTAGGTGGAATATTTTAAACCATAACTTCTACTTTTCTAGAACACAGAAATGCACATACAGTGTGAAATAGAATGCTTTAAGAAAAAGCTAGTCCTGTGCTTAATTGTGTGTGTTTTAGTAAAATCACCACAGGGAATATCTTGAAGCAGATACTGAGTAATGATTACATACATAGAGTGGGGCATAACTCCTCCAAATTACTTCCTCTCATCTCAAAAGAAAAAAAAATATGGCAAAAGAAGTGAGCGAAACCTAGAGAAGAAAGTGAGATCTTTAATTGCTATCATTAAGTAGTGAGAGGGACCAAGACATGTTTTGTGTCTGTCTTTCTACATTGGAAGTCTAGGCTCATTGCCTAAAGAAAACAATGGGAAGCATTGTAGCTTTTACCTAATTTTATAGTGGCTGAGATTCAGAAATTTTTCAAAGAATGTTGAGTAGGTCACAGAAGGAATTCTCACTGGGAATTTATCACAAATGTCTTAGAGAATAAGAAAAGCAGACAGATTTTCAGATTCAAAATTAGCATTTTTCAAACATGTTTTAAGATGATGTCAAGAATAAGAAAACAATTCCATAGGCTAGACCTTACGTTGGGGCTGATTTGGGAAATCTAAATGCAATGGGAGTATTTGGATCTCATGGTGGCAGGCACTGACACTTGTATCAGCACTCATCCTACAAAAGCATGATGGGTATGGTTACCATAGAAACAGCAGAGTCACAGCAGCAGTCAGATTGGTGTGAGTCATGCAGCCCCATGCTGTTGGCTAGTTGATCATGGTGTTTGTAGAAGTGAAATAGATAGGAAGCCTCTTAAATCCTTACTTGACCTGTGTAAACAGAAAAGTTCCATGTCATGAGAACAAAAGTCTAATCTGAATCATAAAAACAGTCATGGCCCCTCACTTGAGACAATTTACAGGCCCTGAACCTCTTGAATGAAGGGCAGCTCAGTCCCCTTAAGGAAAAATCCCAGTACATGGACAAAAATTGATATAGCACATCTTTTTCCCAGTCTTTCACAAAGGGGTCTACAGCCTTTTTTTCCAGGATAACTGTGCTTTGGGGAAAATGAAATAGCCAGACCTTTCAGGGACTACTGAAACTGTACTGGCTCTGAAGTATACTCATTCCAGGAGACTGAAAACATTACCGTGGTCTACTAACCAGGGTAGGAGCATATGAAGGTCAGATGATGAAAAGAGTTTGGTTTGAGTAGTCCTTATTGTGGGATTTGTGGGACCCTGCATGTAATCTGTGGTTATTTCTACAGTTCCAGAATGTAAAATTGAAATAGATATACTCAGTAGCTTGTAGAATCCCCATATTGTTTCCTGACCTATGGAGTGACGGCTATTATAATGGAAAAGACCAAGTGGTAGCCATCAGAACTGCCTTTTACCAGAAAAATAGCAAATCAAAAGCAATACCACATTTCTGGAGGAATTGCTAAGATTAGTGCCAACATCAAAGCCTTGAAAGGTGCAGGAATGGTGAGTGGCATCGCATTATCATTTCACTCACCTATTTGAGAAGTGCAGAAAACAGATAGATATTAGTGAATGACTGTGAATTATCAAACATTTAACCAGACATGTCTCCTATTGCAGCTGCCATATCAAATGTGTTTTCATTGCTTGAGCAAATTTACACATTTCCTGGTACCTGGTATGCAGCTATTGATGTGGAAAATGCTTTTACTCCATATCTGTATACAAGGTCCACCAGAATCAGTTTGTTTTCAGCTGAATAGGTAAGCAATGGACCTTCACTGCCTAGCTGAAGGTATATCAACTCTCTAGCCCTATGTTATAATTTATTTCACAGGGGTCTTGATCACCTTTCTCTTCCAAAAGATATCACGCTGGTTCATTACATTGATGGCATTACAATTGATTGGACCCAGCGAGTAAAAACTAGTAAGTACTCTGAGCGTATTGGTAAGATACTTTCATGTCAAAGGGTGGGGAATAAATCTGACAAAAATTTAGGGATCTGCTATCTTAGTGAAATACCTAGACATCCAGTAGTTTGGGAAATATAAAGATATCACTTCTAAGATGAAAAACAAGTTGATGCATCTTGTCCCGCCTGCAACCAAAAAAGAGGCACAAAGCCTAGTGGGCTTCTTTGTATTTTGAAGGCAACAAATTCCTTGTTTGGGTATGTTACTCTAACCTATTTATTGAGTGAGCCCCAAAGTTACTAGTTTTGAAGAGAGCTCACAAAAATGAAAGACTCTGCAACAGGTCCGAGCTATTGTAAAAGATTCTTCTGCCACTTGATTCTACAGATCCAATGAGGCTTAAAGTCTTGATATCAGATAGGAATGCAATTTGGAGCCTTTGGAAGACCCTTATATGTCTATTTCAGTGCAGGCCTTTAGCATTTTGGAACCTAGTGTTGTTATTCTCCAGATATCAACTTCAATATTTTATAACTAGCTCTTCGTCTGACTGGACCTTCATGGAAATTAAATGCTTAACTATTGGCCACAAAGTTTGTATGCAACCTGAACTGCCCATCATGAACTAACTCTTACCTAACTCACCAAGCCATTAAGTTGGGCATGCTCAGCAGCATTCCATCATCAAACAGAAGTGGTATGTATGTGTCCAGGCCTAAGGAAGCCCTGCAGGCATCAGTAAGTTACATGAAGGAGACGTCAAATGTCTGTAGCCTTCACTTCTCTTACACTGCCTTTTCTCTCCCAGCCTGCACCTACAACTTAAAATCAGTTGACAAGAGGAAGAAATTAACCCTGATTTAGAAATGGTTCTGCACAAAATGCAAGCATCATCCAAAAGTAAAGAGCTGCAGCACTACAGCCCCTTTCTAGGACATCCTTGGAGGATAGTGATGAAAGAAAATCCTCCCAGTGGACAGAACTTTGAACAGTGCACCTAGATGTTTAATTTGTTTAGAAACAAAAATGGCCAGATGTATGATTGGACACCAGTTCATGGGCAGTGGCCAATAATTTGGCTGTGTGGTAAGGAATTTGGAAGAAAAACAATTGAAACATTGTTGATGAAAAAATTGGGAAAATGATATGTGGATAAGCCTCTGTGAACAGGTTAAAAACATGCAGATATTTGTACCACATGTGAATATGCACCAAAGTATGACTTCAGCAGAGAAGGATTTTAATAAACAAAGCAGGTGATATGGCCTGTTTTGTGGGTAACAGTCAGCCTCTTTCCCCTGCCACTCGTGTCATTGCATAAGGGCCCATGAACCGATAGCCATAGTGGCAGGGATGGCGTTGATATATGCCCTTAGAAGCATGAATTTCTTCTCAATAAGATTTACCTGCTTACAGCTACTGCTGAGTGCACAGTCTGCCAGCAGGAGACCAACACTGAATCCCAAATATGGCACTATTCCCATGGATGATCAAGCTGGCGACCTGGTGGCAGGTTGATTACATTAGACTACTTCCACCATGTAAGGGCCAGCATTATGTCTCTTCTGGAATAGAAACTCTGAATATAAATTTGCCTTCCCTGCACATAATGCTTATGCTAAAACTACCGTCTAAGGACTTACAGAATGTAATGCTTATGCCAAGGACTTCCCTGCATATAATTCTTATGCTAAAATTACCATCCAAGGACTTATCCACTGTCATTGTATTCTGCACAGGATTGCTTCCGATCAAAGAACTCACTTCACAGCAACATCCACAAAAAAAAAAAAAAGTGTGACAAAGGGCCATGCTCACAGAATTTACTGGATTTACAATATTGTCTGCCACCTGAAGCAGCTGTTCTGGAAGAACAGTAGAATGGCCTTTAGAAAATTCAGTTACAGCACTAGCTAGGTGACAATAACTTCCAAGTACAGAGTGATATGAGAAGATTTCTTATGGGAATTGGCTCACAATTATGGAGATGAAGTATTCCCATAATATACTGTCTCTGAGCTGAAGAACTAGGAACACCGGTGGTATAATTCAGTCTAAGTTCAAAGGTCTGAGAACAGGGAGCCAACTTCAAGGCTGAGGCTGAAGGCCTGAGAACTGGAAAGAGTAGGGGGAGTCCTAAGGCCCAAGGCCCAGGAGCTTTGGTGTTCTAGGCAGGAGAAATATATATCCCAGCTCAAAAGAGTGTGAGAGAATTTGTTCTTCTCCTATTTTTTTGTTCTATTTGGTTCCTCAATGTATTGGATGATGCCTGCCAACGTTAGTAAGAGTTGATCATCTTCACTCACTTTACCAATTCAAAGGCTAATCTCTTCCAGTTACACCTCACAGACACACACCCCACTAGTGTTTTCCCATTTTTCTGGGTATTTCTCAGACCAGTCAAGGTGACACATAAAATTGATTATCACAAGTTATATATGCTCTGATTCTGTGTCTAATCTATAATGTTCTTTTTCCCACAGCTAGGATTAACAGCACCAGGAATCAAGCATTAGACATGAGAATAGTATTACTAAAAATTACTTCACTGATCTTCCAGCCAAGTATCTGATTCTTGTTCCCATGAGTTTATGCTTCCTGGCCTAGAGAGGTCTCAGTTTTAGAGAAAGGAATGCTTTTACTAGGAGACATAGCATTGATTCTATTGAACTGGAAGTTAAGAGTGCTACCTGACCACTTTGGACTCTTTATGTCTGTCTCAACATGCAAAAGAGAGTTATTTTTCTAGCTGAGGTGATTCAGCCTGATAACTAAGTAGAAATTGAAATATTACTCCATTGTGGATGTAAGGAAGATTATGTCTGAAATTCAGGGCGCCTTTTAGTATTTCCATGCCCTGTGATTAAGGTCCATGGACAACTACAACAACCCAATACAGAAAGAAGTACTCTTGGCTCAGACTCTTCAGGAATGAAAGTTTGAGCAACCCTAAAAGTAAAATACACACAATTAGCTGAGGTGCTTATAGAAAGCAAAGGGATTACAGAATAGGAAGTGGAAGAAGATAGTTATAAATACCAGTTACAACCACATGACCAGTTACAGGAAGGATGATTTTAGTTGTTATGAGTATTTTCTTCATATTTTATTATGCATTTGTATGTGTATATAAATATATAATTATTTATAAATATTTATGTACCATATATAGAAATATATTAAACAGATATCTTTGTGTTTTCTTTTCTCTCATTTCTTCAAGTAATATAAAACAAATTGATTCTATATTATTGTATTTATGTATTGTAATTTTCCAATGAAATATTTAAGTTATAGACTCAAATACTTTCTCTCTCAAAGGAATTAGTGTGTTTTCTGTTGTATTCAGGATAGTTGAATCATATTAATCAGATTATGACTTTGCCATTTTCTTTATTTGCAGAATAAGTATGGTTTAAGGAATTGCATATGGGTTCCAAGTTGATAAGGAATAGACCTGTTATAGTTAATTTCATGTGTCAACTTGACTGGGCCACGAGGTGCCCAGTCACACTGTGAAAGTGTGTTTTTATGAGACTAACATTTAAATCAGTACACTCAGTAAAGCACATTAACTTCTTTAATGTGAGTAACACTTAACCAATCGGTTGAAGTCTAGAGCAAAAAGCTGACTCCTCCATTAATGGGAAAAAAATTCCTCTCTGCCTGACAGTTTTTGAGCTGGGACATTGAACTCTGACTTGGATTAGAATTTACAGTATTGGCTCTCCTTTTTCTCTGACTTGGATTCGAATTTATACCATCATTTTTCCTGGGGCTCCAATTTGCTGACTGTGTATCTTGGAAGTTGTCAGACTCCATAACCACGTGAACTAATTTCTAAAATAAATATCTTTAGATATAGATATAGATATGTACAGATATCTGTCCAGATATTTATTCTGGGTTATTGATCTATTGATTGATTATATCTACATATGTGTCTCCTATTAATTCTGTTATCTGTAGAACCCTGATTAATACACCATTCTAACCCAGAACACAGAAACACATGTATAATCAGGTCAAAGCCCAACAACTGGAAAATAGTACTTAAACTAACTCTGTGTTGTATTTTTGTATTTCTTCTTTTATTCCCTTTAAATCTATATGATTGCCAACTAAATTGATTTTATATTCTATGATTGGGGGCAACTCATAATTTGTAAAACACTGTCATAAAACCCAGTGGGGTAGAGGGTAGTGCTAAGATACCAGAAGAAGGTAGAGTTTTGCTAATAAATGTCTGGCCAACAATTATAAAGCAGACCTATGGTGCCAAAACTGCAGGAGATGGGTTTGATAAGTTGTGTACCTCTAGCAGAGAAAACATGAAATGTCTCTCATTATTGTTATAAGGCTAAAACCATTTTTGAATCATGTATTGCTCAGAGACTCATGGAACAAATTGAAACAAGCCCCAATTAGTGCAAAAGAGTGCTAGAACAAGCTATACTTAAGTTTATGCTGTGTGTAATGATGTCCAGAAAAATCTCCCTCCACCTTTCCTTTGAGCAGGTGAAATTTGGAAGTCTTTGTAAAACTTATTTCTCTATTACTTAAACTCTCCAATATGGGCCAAGTAATACAGTTTAGCAGGTGAAAGTTTAAGTTTCACCTGATGGGAGAAGTTTTAATTTATCTCACCAGGCATTGTTATCAGGCATTTAAGGAATCTTGATTTTCTCTGAGCCTGTTTTCCCCTCCCCATCCAAGTAAGTTCAACTAAGTGAAGGGACAAAGAATACCTAGAGCAAGGCTAATCCCTGTGTGATTGCTGTACTTGCCTCTGCAGAAGTGAGAAAAACATGCTGGCTCCAGAAGATAATCTCTCATCATGTTTTCCAAAGCCATAGTCTAATCTCCATTCTTAGCTCTTCCTTCAGAAAGAAGCAGGAGAACCTGAGATACCTCTTGCAAAAACAGCATAACTTCCCTTCGTGGCTTTGTGGAACTTATTTAATTGGCTTTGGATTCTCCACTATTGGCTGCTTATCTCTTTTAGACATGAATATGAAATTCAACCATTTTTAAAAGCAAACTTTTGGTAAATAAATCTCAAAGGATTATGCTGGTGACCTGAGTTGCTGCTACTGGAATCATTCTTTACACTATAAAAAATTCAGTCATTTTGTAAACTTGGAAGACATGAAGGAATGTTAATGGCAACCTTCTGTGATCAGTTCTTTCTTCCATATGATGACTATTTTGTATTTGTCTCTGATTTTTTTAAATTTATGGCCTGTATATGATGAGCATCTACTTTTGGTGGAGAATGTGTTAATTAGACTGTGATAACCATATGCTACACCATATTCCATTTTACAAAATTTTAGTCATCAGTACTCCTTGAATGCACACAGTGCTTATCATTTTGGCTTTGCTCCAATATTCTGAGTATTTTATTCTGTGATTTTTCTACTATAGCTGGACAGAACTTTCATATACATATAGAATCCTGCTCTCTATGGAACCCCTTGAACTTGATGAATCAAATGATCTATGTAGCAAAGTAGATATCATGGAAGTATGGAAAGACCAAGAAAAGAGGGCATAGTAGCAAAAGGTGCAGACTTGCAGTGTAGCTATAGAAGTCTTGGCCAGGTTGATATTCAAAACAACACGAAATATTTCAATATCCAAAAACAACACAAAAAATTTGAGTACCTCTATGCTGGTTCAAAGGTATTATGTGATATATCATTTTTCTTTTCATTAATGGGTAATAATGTCTATTATTTTAAAGATTTCATTATGTTCAGACTAGATTTTTAAAACTCTATACCTTTAAAATTATATAAAATATGTACTGTCACATATCAAAATTAATCTATTTGCTTGTTACATATTTTAAAGCAACATTTTAAATTACATACACTTAAGTTGTGATAATCACATTTAAATTTTATTCATTTAACTTGTTATATCCTGTAGAAAAGTCATTATTTTGGAAAAAAAATTAGTTCATATTAAGGAATAATTTATAAAGTTCTTTAAAAATTATGTTTTTGAACAATATTTTATGAGTGAGTTATAATTAGAACCCCCTCCAAAAACCCTGAATCTTTGTTTGCAAATAATTTCATTTGCATTCCTCCATATTATTGGTTATTATCTTTGAATAATGAATAATCAAGTTATTAAATTAATTTTGTCTTTATTTTATTTTTCTATGTTTTTCACCAAGGATACCGACTTAGCTTAAACGTACAGTGTTGCTTTTAAAACTAACGAACCAAAACCCTCCAACTATTCTTTGTTGTATGTAGGGATTTTATTCCCTAATGAAATTTCTACCTTTTGATAAATATTTTTGCAAAGTAACCATCTGCATGCTACATTGAACAATTCATAATGCCTCCCCACAACAATAAATCAAGTCACAGGTGATAATGTGTGTCTTGACAGAGCATCACCCTTAATAGAATATCATAAAAGGAACTGTTTATGGCTGGAAATAAGGAAAATATAGAACCAAAAAGAACTAGGGAAATAACCATAGGGCTAAATATATCCATTAAATTATGGGATAAACAATATTAAATTAACATTTTCAAGGCCTAATTTGATGTGTTTATTAAATCCCTTTTTGTATTCAGCAATTAAACTGGAAAACCAATTTGTGTTCCCAGCTATTGCAGTTATAATAGAAGGGCTAGTAATTAGTGAAAAGCAGAAAAGGGTGGCAAAGATGGAAAGAAAAGAGAAACTACCAAGCAAACTCTTATAAACCTCACAGCATAAAAAGAAAACACATTTGTTTTCGCAGAATTTACACCTCATTTCGTGACTTTAGATTTAGATTATTTGCATTATTTTAATGTTTTATCATCTTATTTATGCTCTTTTTAGAGTGTTTTGTGTCCAGGAATTTATACATTTCTTCTAGATTTTTTAGGTTATTTGCATATAGGTGTTTATAGTATTCTCTGATGGTAGTTTGTATTTCTGTGGGATCATTGGTTTTATCATTTTTTATTATGTCTATTTGTTTCTTCTCTCTTTTCTTCTTTATTAGTCTCGCTAGTGGTCTGAAGACTAAACCAGGAAGAAGTCAAATCCCTAAATAGACCAAAAATAAGTTCTGAAATTGAGGCAGTAATTAAAAGCCTACCAACCAAAAAAAGTCCAGGATCAGACGAATTCACAGCTGAATTCTATCAGAGGTACAAAGAGGAGCTGGTGCCCTTCCTTCTGAAACTATTCCAAACAATGGAAAAAGAGGGACTCCCCCCTAACTCATTTTATGAGACCAGTGTCATCCTGATACCAAAACCTGGCAGAGACACAACTACAACAAAAAAGAAAACTTCAGGCCAATATCTCTGATGAACATCAGTGCAAAAATCCTCAATAAAATACTGGCAAACCGAATCCAGCACCACATCAAAAAGCTTATCCACCAACATCAAGTCGGCTTCATCCCTGGGATGCAGTCTGGTTCAACATACACAAATCAATAAACATAATCCATAACATAAAACCAATGACAAAAACCCCATGATTATCTCAATAGACACAGAAAAGGCCTTCGATAAAGTTAAACACCACTTCATACTAAAAACTCTCAATAAACTAGGAATTGATGGAACTTAATTAATAGCTCAAAATAATAAGAGCTATGTATGAGAAACCCACAGTCAATATCATACTGAATGGGCAAAAGCTGGAAACATTCCCTTTGAAAACTGGCACAAGACAAAGATGACCTCTCTCACCACTCCTATTCAACACAGTATTGGAAGTTCTGGCCAGGGCAATCAGGCAAGAGAAAGAAGTAAAGGGTATTCAAATAGGAAGAGGAAGTCAAACATTCTCGGTTTGCAGATGACATGATTGTATATTTAGAAAACCCCATTGTCTCAGCCCCAAATCTCCTTAAGATGATAAGCAACTTCAACAAAGTCTCAGCATACAAAAATCAATGTGCAAAAATCACAAGCATTCCTATACACCAATAGTAGACAAACAGAGAGCCAAATCATGAGTGAACTCCCATTCACAATTGCTATGAAGAGAATAAAATACCTAGGAATGCAACTTACAAAGGATTTGAAGGACATCTTCAAGGAGAACTATAAACCACTGTTCAAGGAAATAACAGAGGACACAAACAAATGGAAAAACATTCCATGCTCAGGTACAGAAATAATCGATACCATGAAAATGACCTTATTTCCCAAAGAAATTTATACATTAAATGCTATCCCCATCAAGCTATGATTGACTTTCTTCAGAGAATTAGAAAACACTGCTTTAAATTTCATATGGAACCAAAAAAAAGCCCATATAGCCAAGACAATTCTAAGCAAAAAGAACAAAGCTGGAGGCATCCCACTACTGACTTCAAACTACAAGACTACAGTAATCAAAAAAGCATGGTACTGGTACCAAAACCAGGTATATAGACTAATGGAACAGAATATGGCCCTCAGAAATCACACCACACATCTACAACCATCTGACGTTTGATAAACCTGACAAAAACAAGCAATGGGGAAATGATTCCCTATTTAATAAATTGTGTTTGGAAAACTGGTTAGCCATATGCAGAAAACTGAAACTGGACCCCTTTCTTACATCTCATACAAAAATTAACTCATGATGGATTAGAGACTTAAACATAAGACCTAAAACCATAAAAACCCTAGAAGAAACCTAAGCAGTTCCATTCAGGAGATAGGCATGAGCAAGACTTCATGAATAAAACACCAAAAGCAATGGCAACAAAAGCCAAAATTGACAAATTGGATCTGATTAAACTAAAGAGCTTCTGTAGAGCAAAAGAAACTGTCGTCAGAGTGAACAGGCAACATACAGAATGGGAGAAAATTTTTGCAATCTATCCACCTTACAAAGGTCAGATATCCAGAATCTACAAGGAACTTAAGCAAATTTACAAGAAAAAAAACAACCCCATCTAAAAATGGGTGAAGGATATGAATGGACACTTCTCAAAAGAAGACATTTAAGTGGCCAATAAACATATGCAAAAAAGCTCATCATCACTGGTCATGAGAGAAATGCAGATTAAAGCCCCAATGAGATACCATCTCCTGCCAGTTACAATGGTGATCATTAAAAAGTCAGGAAACAACAGATGATGGAGAGGATGTAGAGAAATAGGAACACATTTTGTGTGTGTGTGTGTGTGTGTGTTACAGCTCATAAAGGCATCACAGACCCAAAGAGTGAGCAGCAGCAAGATTTATTGTGAAGAGCAAAAGAACAAAGCTTCCACAGCGTGGAAGGGGACCCAAGTGGGTTGCCCAGAAATAGGAACACTTTTACACTTGGTGGGAGTGTAAATTAGTTCAACCATTGTGGAAGACAGTGTGGTGATTCCTCAAGGATCTAGAACCAGAAATACCATTTGACCCAGCAATCTCATTACTGGGTATATATCCAAAGGATTATAATTCATACTACTTTAAAGACACATGCACACATATGTTTATTGCAGCACTGTTCACGATAGCAAAGACTTGGAACCAACCCAATGCCCATCAATGATAGACTGGATAAAGAGAAAGTGGCATATATACACCATGGAATACTATGCAGCCATAAAAAAGGATGAGTTCATGTCATTTGCAGGGACATGGATGAAGCTGGAAACCATCATTCTCAGCAAACTAACACAGGAACAGAAAACCAAACACTGAATGTTCTCACTCATAGGTGGGAATTGAACAATGAGAATAGAATGTACACAGGGAGGGGCACATCACACATCAGGGCCTGTTGGGGGGTGGGGGCTAGGGGATGGATAGCATTAGGAGACATACCTAATGTAGATGATGGGTTGATGGGTGCAGCAAACCACCATGGCACATGCATACCTAAGTAACAAACCTGCACATTCTGCACATGTGTCCCAGAACTTAAAGTATAATAATAATTTAAAAAGAATGTTTTGACCCTGTTGTTAAAAGTAATGTTTTCCCAGTTGTCCAGTGGACAATAAAACCAGGTCATATTTAACACCTACTTATACTTGGGAGCTGTGTGTCTCTGTCCCTCAGTTTTCTCATTTGCACATAGAATTTTTGTGAGATAAAAATGACTTAGGTAATGTAGGTAACTTAGTGAACTTTGAAGATTGTCATTGAATAAACACTCTGTAAATGTTAGTTGCTTTTATGAAAATTATAATTAAAGAGACTTGTTAAAAATCACAGAACACAAACTTGGGCTCTAGTTTGAGCTCCACATTTCCTAGCAACATGACCTTCTTCACCAAGGTACATAAACTTCTTGTTTCCTAACTTTATTATCAGTAAAGCAAGGCTGATAGAACCTGTTGTCTGCCTCACAGTCATTTGGAGAAAAACCTTGTATAAGTTTTTAATAGCTTAATTTTATAGTATCGTAAAGGAATATAGAAGAACACAAAACCACTTTCTGAAGTCCCGTGGAGAAAAGATAACATGGAATCCTTTAAAGACTTGATTGGGAGGGAGAACATATTGGAAAGCAAAGAAGATAACATTTTTTTTAACAGATTCTGTTCAATTGCATCTTCCTGATGATTGATCTCTGCTTTTCCGTCATTTCCCTGCCTCTTTCTGTTATCATAATTCGTTGACTGAGTGAAACTATGTCTCTCAGGCTTATGGTATTTTTGATAAAAATTTTATTCAGTTTTATTAATGCTTTCATTCCTTTAGGCAATGCGTATTTCAAAGAAATGTAAGTGACAATCTTTGTTATATTCAGTAATTTCATATTTCAATGTAAAGAACTTGAAGTTCCATTTCACATATGAGCTTTCTTCTAAATGTTCACATCATTTTTATTTTAAGGTGGAAGCAGTATTCTATCCAGAAACTAAACTCACTACTTATCAGCTATGTGTTGAGTATGGGGTTGTATTTACATTCATGTGTATTTTATAAATAAAGAACCACAGTAAGTCTATGAAATTTGTGTTTTCTTAGGGTCATTTTGTTAAATGTATATAATTACCCATGGTAATATTCTTGAGAATATTAGCAAGCCCTTTTCTTTGGAAATTTTGATTAAATATTTTATGTAATGAACATAAATAGAAACCTCAATGAAAAGAGGTTATTTTCATTATCACTATAGTTACTATTTTTCAATGCATTTATCTATTTTTCAAGTCACAATACTTTAAAAATTCATTGAGCCTTAGTCTGCTCTGATTGTATATACCTCGTAGTTTTATTTCTTGCTTTTTTTCTTAAAATTTGAGAATAAGGAAGCAGGAAATGCTCACAGCAGTCACCAATAATATTAAATTCCACTAGCATCTATGAGAAACACATTGTAAATCAATTTAATCTCTACTGTAAGTTTTACTTGATATTAGGTCCAGTTAACAACTAGAAGCCTGCCACAGAGACCACATACACAGCCAGCCAGCTCTATTTATTATTTGCTTTTGAACTGCAAGGTGGTAGGGGGCACTTCTTAAAATTTTTTCTTTGCTAACAAGTTATTCTTTGCCTTAACCCACCACCACTATGACCACCAACACTCAATGATTCACCCAAACTTGGGTAAATAATGATCTTACTTGTTTTTAATTAACCTTTCTTAAATATGTGTATATCTCACATTGATTGTAATGTTTGATAATAGAAGTGTTTTGAGTCTTAATTCAGAAGTTTGCTAATGTTTTTGTGAGCAGAAATATGCCACAGGAATTTAATTCTTGTTTATATCAGTTAGCCTGTAGTAAAATTGATTTCCTTATATGTCACTTCTCTTAAAGATGCAGTTTTCAAAAACTTATCAATAACATTAAGTGAAGACTTGCTATATATGTGTCTGTGTTTGTATGCTTTTGCATGTATAAATTTGGTTTAAGGGAAAACACAAGAACTCTTTTGAGTCCTTAGAACTGGGTCCTCTCTTATTTTTCCATAATATTTTTCAGCAAATAACAAAATGTTTCTTAGTTTAAGTCAATCTAATTAATGTATTTAAACTAAATTCAAATATCTATTATATTGGATAAGAATATTGACATTGTTTTCCATTCTCAGTTTTAAACTTTTAAGTAAAATGGGTAACTTGCATTTTTTGACATTGCTTTGAAGATGCCAAAAGTGATACTGAGAGACAGTATTAGAATATAAATGTTATATAAGAAAAATTGATTTGGAGAAATACGTTGTAATGGAATATTTGTTTTTCTAAGAAAAAGAAGTGGCACTGAAATTAGAACTATAGAGTAATTCTACTTTCTTCTTCTTTCTTTCTAGCATAGATTAATTCTGGTTTTATTAAACTTATCTTTGACAGTTGATTTCTATATGTTTATGTCCAGTTAATGAGTAGACAGAGATTTCTATTTTGAGTTAGAGCACTGACATTTATACAATTTGGTGATTCTTCTAACCATAATTTATTTATAAAACAGAAGTGAATTTTTTTTCTAACATTATATTTTAAGGGATTTGGAAAAAAATCAATTCATTTAATATGGGCTAATATATTTTCCATATATTATGAAAATAATGCTATGATATTTCCTTTAAATTGCATGAAAAATATAGCATATATTTTCCATTACTATATTTATTCATGAAAACATTAATAAAATGACTGGGATGTAATAGAAAAGAAAATGGGTTTGTCTTTGTCTTTAGGTATTTTCTAGATCTAATGAATTTAGTGGTGTGTGCAAGTCTCTGAAATCTCTTGGTCCATTTTCTCTTCCTACATAATGGGAATAGAATTTACTTTATATCTTCCATCATGAATTATATATGATGAAACATTAAAAGACATGAGGCAGTTGTTGGCACATATTAAACATTGAATCATTGTTAATAACAATACTGGTTGTTAATGGTGCTGTTATACTGCTATCCCTTCTCTTTTTTCAACAAAAATGTGCTCTGGACTGGATATAACTGAAATTAATTGATTAAACTGAATTAGTTCAGAATTATGATTAGAGTATGTCACAGTTTCTCTGGGTCTCTGTTTCCCTGTGATAAAAGTTGCAAACACATCTTATTCAGAATATTGTGAGAAAGTGCTTAGCATGATGACCTGAAAACCTCAGCACACAGAGAGAAACTCACACATATCAGATGTTTACTTTTTTTATGTTTTAGGGAACTAATGGTCCAAGATTAGAGGAAAAATCTGTCCTTAAGGCTCTTTTATTCTAAGGTCATTGAATGTGGGTTTGTTGGGGGAAGAAATTCTATACACACACACACACACATACACAGACACAGACAGCCCCCCACACACAATGCAAAAAAATGGATTAAAATTATTATTAAAATTAATACTAAATCTTTAGTATCAATTATGTGTAATGTAGAAGATGAAAGGGAAAAATTGTGTTTGGTCATTATACCATCAGATTAGCAAATTTGATGTTCCCAATATGCCTCTTTCTCTAGATAAGTTCTAGATATTCAGAAATCTTTGGGAAGACATTCAGAGGACTTTGGAAAGTTCTCTGTTATTTTCCCTTTGAATAAAAATGTTGCACCCATTATCTTTCTCTACTTCTTCTTTAAGGCCAATAACTCTTAGATTTGCCCTTTTGGTGCTATTTTCTACGTACTGTAAGCATGCTTCATTGTTTTTTATTATTTTGTTTCCTCTGACTGTGTGTTTTCAACTAGTCTGTCTGCAAGATTACTAATTCTTTCTTCTGCTTGATCCCTTCTGCTATTAAAGGACTCAGACACTTTCAGTGTGCCAATTGCATTTTTCAGCTCTAGAGTTTCTGCTTGATTTGTTTTTAATTATTTCAATCTCTTTGTTAAATTTATCTGATAGAATTCCAGATTTCTTCTCTCTGTTATCTTGAATTTCTTTGAGTTCTCGCAACACAGCTCTTTGGAATTCTCTTTCTCAAAGATCACATATTTTTGTTTGTCCAGGATTGGTCTCTGGTGCCTTACTTAGTTCATTTGGTGAGGTCATATTTTCCTGGATGGTGTTGGTGCTACTAGAGGTTCTCTGGAGTCTTAGCACTGGAGAATTAGGTATTTAATGTAGTCTTAACTGTCTTGACTTATTGTAGTCATCCTTCTTGGAGAGGCTTTCTGGATATTTGAAAAGACTTGTGTGTTGTAATCTAAGCTGTAGCTACTTTAGGGTGCACCCCAAGCCAAGTAATCCTGCAGTTCTTACGGACTTATAGAGGTACTACCTTGATGGTCTTGGATAAGACCTGAGAGAGGCTGGGCACGGTGGCTCATGCCTGTAATCCTAGCATTTCGGGGGACCAAATCGGGCAGATCACGAGGTCAGGAGATCGAGACAATCCTGGCTAACATGGTGAAACCACGTATCTACCAAAAATACAAAAAAAAATAAAATAAAATAGCCAGGCATGGTGGCGGGTGCCTGCAGTCCCAGCTACTTGGGAGGCTGAGGCGGAAGAATGAGGTGAACCCGGGAGGCGGAGCTTTCAGTGAGCCGAGATTCTGCCACTGCACTCCATCCTGGGTGACAGAGCAAGACTCCGAAAAAAAAAAAAAAATTAGACCTACGTGGCAGAGACTCTTACTTTCTCCCAAACAAGAGAGTCTCTCTCTCTCTCTCTCTCTGTTCTGAGCCACCTAAAGCTGGGGGATAGGGTGACACAAGCACCCTTGTGGCCACCACCACTGTGACCGCGCTGGGTCAGACCTGAAGTCAGTACAGCACTGGGTCTCATCTAAATCCTGCTGTAACCACTCCCTGGTTACTGCCTAGGTTTGCTGAAGGTCCTGGGGCTCTACAGTCAGAAAGGGCAAAGCCAGCCATCCCTATGTCTTTCCTTTCAGGATGGTGAGGTCCCCCAGCCCCCAGGTTCCCCAGGTGGGTCCAGAAGTTCTGTCTAGGAGTCAGGGACTACAGTCAAAAACTTTAGAAGTCTACCTGGTGTTCTATTATATTTCAGCTGAGCTGGCACTAGAAAAAAAAGATGCAGTCCTTCCCACTCTTTCCTCCTCTTTCCAGAGGCAGAGGAGCCTCACTTTGTACCCACTGCAACCTCAGGCCATGAGGAGTTTTGCCAGAATACCGCCAATGTTTCTTTAAGGCCCCAAAATTCTTAAGTCAATTTGTTGTGAAGCTGCCAGGCCTGGGCTCATCCTTTAGGGCAGTGGGCTCCCCTCTGGCCCAGGGCAGGTCCAGAAATGCCATTCAAGAGTCATGTCCTGGAATCGGAGCCCCCAAGAGCTCACTCGGTGCTTTACCATTCTGTGATCATATGGATACCTAAGGTGCACGACAAAGTCTTCTTTGCTTTTTGTCTATTTTTCTCAAGCAAAATGAGTTTTGCCCCTTAGCCACCACAGTTAGTAATGTGCTGAGTCTCACTTGAAGTCAGCAAGTTTCATAGGCTCATCCAAGGCCTTTGATGTAATTCCTGCATATTGCCGGTGGTTACTCAGGGCCCAAGGGCTCTTCAGTTAGCAGGTGATAAATGCTGCCAGGGCTGAGTCCTTTCCTTCAAGGCAGTAGGTTCCCTTCTGGCCCAGGGTGTGTCTAGAAATGTCATCTAGGAGCTAGGGCCTCAAGATGCTGACGGGTGCCCTATCCTGCTATGGCTGAGCTGGCATCCAAGATGCAAGACAAAGTCCTCTCCACACTTCCCTGTCCTCTCCTCAGGTGTAAGGAAGGGGTCTCTTTTAGAGATGCAAGCTATGCAGCCTGGAATCAGGGGAGGGGTGGCTGCCCCAGCTGGTGCCTCAGTGTGTCACGAGCATCCCCCCTCCCCGCCCCCACTGCCACCGATTCCACTGTCCCTGGGCCTAGTTCAGCACTAGGACTTGCCTAACAGTTGCAGTCCTTATGACCTAGACCGCCTTTCAAGTTTACTTGGAGGCACAGAGTGCTGTAGCCCTCACTGGTGAGACACATTTTATTTTTTTTAAAGTGCCTCACAAACTTGTTTGTTTAGGAGTGCTTACCCCTTTATATTGTCATAGTATTTTGAGTTTAAATTTAATTATCGTGGATTGTTCTAGGTGTACACTTGTTTCTTTCTTTTTGAAATCTTTGTTTCATTCAGACTATGCCCAAGAGTCTAGAAATCAGATTGTTACTTCTTTGAAGTCTCTAATATAAGAATAGTTCCTGCGTTTAAGATAATCAGTGTGTTTACAGTCATCCCTCTTTACAATTCTTTTCCTTGGGTATCTAAATGTTCTGGAAAACAATGACAGACTTTCTTTCTGCCTAGTTTAATAGAAATACACAATTAGATTCCTACTTTCAGTTCAACATAGCCAGTGCAACTTAGAATCAGAGACAGAAAAGTGAAATAATTCAATATTGTTTGCTTTCATCCCGGGGCCTATCATTTTCTGAAGTTGTTCTGAGGGTATAATTTCAGTCACAGTCTCTGTCGTTAGTGATCTTTTTACTATGGATTTCCCTTGTCTATACTGTCTGGTGACATTATGAACATTTTAATAAAAATGTAGAAAGAGGCATATTGGGAACATCAAATTTGCTAACCTGATGGTATAATGACCAAACACACTCTTTCCCTTTCATCTTCTACATTACACATAATTGATACTAAAGATTTTTTTAATGAAATAAATCAGTAACAAAGTTATTTTCTTTCTTTAAAAAATTTAAACCCTTATATTCTCATGAGAGCAAAGGCCTACCTTAGTTTTTAATATTAAGATTCTATTTAAGATTTAATCAGATATTCTTTTCTTATAAAATTTTTCGTGATGTAAATCTAAGAAGGATGCTTCTAAGCCTCAATCCACTCACAAGAAATGCATTCATCTCAGATGAACAAAGATATCATACAAATATAAAAGACTGTGTATAAAAAAGGAAAATGTCAAAAATATACATTGTAAAAGGGAGATGATTTTAAATTTCACTAAAATACTAATTCTTTGCCAATTTTATTCTTCAAATGATTTATAATTAATTTACTGTAACACAGTGCTTCATAATCAATATTTAATACATTATTATAGCTGTACAGCAACTTTTCCAAACAATTAAAGATATATTATTTATAAGTAATTTGAAAATCTATGTATATTTTAAAAATATTAAATTGAGAAATAAAACAACAATATACTTGCTTGCATGATTTTGATTATTATAATTACCTCAGTCTGAAAAATTTCTGTCTCTTGTCTTCTCTTTTAGATATGACTTGGCCAAAAAGAAAACTTGCAACTAGCGTTTTTGAATCACAGGTAGTGCAATGTGGCGGATAGGGACATAGCCTATAGAGTAATGCTGCATGTGTGTATAGTTGACCTCTGTCTCTTCTTATCTGTGAGATTTTTGAGTTACTTTAACTCTCTGTGCCTCAATTGCCTCAACACAGAATGGTTAAAAATACCCCCTACACTGGGACGACCCTACAAAGATTAAATATCCCGATATATGTAAAGTCCTTACAAACCATGCGTCTTCTTATCTAGGACTCACAATTTTTTAAATGGCCAACATGAACATGGGGCAATTGCATTTTACATTTGTTTCATGTAATATGAACTTATTTAATTCATGTTGGTACAGCGAGTGCAAATTCATCAGGGTATGTAGCCTATAGAACCAAATGTATTAAAAAAAAAAAAAAAACTCACACCCAAAGTCTTGTTTTCTGAGTTGATATGCCTAAAAAATAAACTAAATTATACTTTCTTTTATATTTTTGCCAAAGAAACAGAAATGCTTTGTAATTCTGTGGTGAGTTGAACTCTGGGAGTAAAAATGGGAGATGGCCATGAAGAAAGGGAATCTCTATGTTTGAAATATCTAATTTCCAATGAATCTCCAAGCACAATGTTTGATTTCATGTAGAGAATGCGTACACTATGGCTATGTTGAAAAATGTTTACAGAATTAAAATGTTATGAATTCTAAATTTGATTTAAAATATAGCATCTGTTATTCACCCAAATCATGCATGTTATGGGGAAGAAGTCTGCCTCCAGAGAAGGTTATTTAGTCGGCTTCTCTCTTGTTCTTGCTAACTGCAGCTATTTTTTTTTCTTTTTCTTTTTATTATACTATAAGTTCTAGGGTACATGTGCACAACGTGCAGGTTTGTTACATATGTATACATGTGCCATGTTGGTGTGCTGCACCCATTAACTCGTCATTTACATTAGGTTTAATTAAAGCTTCTGACCATTCCTTGGTTGGCCTGTAGGAAGAAGAATAGGAATTGAGCCAGTTAATTCCTTCCTAGCTGATACTGTCACAAACTGGTGGCACAGCTCTAGTATCAGTACTTGCTAGACTTAGGGAGTATTTCAATTTGCTCTTGTAGACATGTTTCTGCTGCACAAGCTATTCCACATTGCTGGCATTATTGATCTACTCTTTTTTGATGGAGATAAATGCATCTCTATTTTTGCTGGTCACTCATTAAGTCACCAGCCTGTAGAATCCAGACATACCTCAGCTTCTACCTATTATGATTTGTTCACATTGAGAAGGCTTTATTGGAGAGGTTCTAATATATACTACAATGAATATTTTTGTGTGTTATCACCTACAGCTGTTACATGGGAAAAGCTTCCCATCTTTGCTCTGAATGAAAAGGTAGGTACCTCCTAAACTACAACCCTATTTTGTTCATCTCTTATGATTTTGATTATTATCCATGACTTAGACACACATTTACTTTATCCTACAAGCCTCAATGTATAAGTATTGAGCTTTCAAGTGACTGCTTTCAGAACCTTCCCTTTAGTGTTGAGTATGTATCTTGACAGTGAGAAAGGTAAAATTTCACAGTACTGCTATAGCCAAAAAATTATTCAAATCTTCCCTTCATATACACTCGTTCTATTGTATTAGAAAAATAATTCAAGATTTTCAGAATAATATGAGAAGTCATCACTTTCTGTCATTTCTGCAATATCCTTATGGCCACACAAGTCAGCCCTCATAATTATGGTGGGAACTTCACAAGGCCCCTGAATACCCGGAAGCAGAAATCACTTGGGGCTGTTTCAGCAGCCGGCCAGCACAGTGTGTCCTCTGGCCACCAATGCTTCCTGTTACCCCTACATGCAAAATACACTCACCCTCCTCCTAGGCCGTGAAATGTGTCATCTTATTAAAATTATCATATCTTATTATCCAAATTAAGTTTTATGAGCAACTTCTCAAGTAGTTTCTCTCATTCTAGGTTCTGTGAGTTAAAGAAACAATTTATCTGTCTCCTATTTACATACACACAGCTAACACAGTGAGGTGGTTCTAGGATACTGCTACACACATTCCTTTCCAAAGAAGGGTGGCTGTTGGGAAGAACACAAAAATCACTGTTTCTCAGTATTTTTGAAATTATGACAAGCCAATTGAAAATTTTCTTCTTTAAGACTCAGTCATACACTTACCATGGACTGATTCTCCATGATTCTTGTCTCTGCCCTCTGGATTTATGAATTCTTTATTGCAAATACCTCAGCTGAGCATAGCTTACAGCCCACTCAGAAAGTGACTTTGTTTTTACTCTCTTTGTCTCTTTTAGTGAAAACTGGAACAGTTTATGCAAATATAATTATCTTAAAAATGTGTTCATTTATTCCTATTGAACTCTTAAAAAATTAAATTGTATGTTTTTAAAATGCATTCTGAGAACAAACTTCTACAACTTTTGTGTGTTACAAATATCTTCTTCAACTGCATGGCTTGCCTTTGAAATCACGTATATGTATTAATTATATATTTATTTATTTATATACATAATATGCTCAATAATATATTTTATTATATTAATTATATATACACATTTACATATGTAAAATGCATATATTAATCATAATATATATGTGTTTTACTTACTTTTCTTCAATTTTTATCATGATTAATAATTTTTAAGTTCTATTTACTAAATTTTAATCAGAGGTCAAGCTGATATTTTCTTATATACTCCACAGAGCTTATTTTATTACATAGTGCTTTTAGAACTAAAATGTATTACAGGTCAGTGGTCTTTTTTCCGCATATGCACGCCAACTCCATAAACAGGACATGTTCCTTGAAGATTACTCTCACCAGGCAAGTCTCAGCAGAGAAAGTGGTGGGAGGGTAATCCTGAAGATTCTACAGTTCAGCTAGCTTTCAGCAAGTGATTGAGATCCCAATACCTCTATTTTCTATGAATTACTCTTCTGAGGGCCCCCTCACCTGTCTGCCTGTGAGTAGCCTTTACAATATGTTTCCAAAAATCTTACAAAGTCTATGTCAGCGACTCTCACCTTGCAGCTCTCAACTCTTTATCCCCAGTCGTTGCGTAAAGTTTGGGGATAAGAGCTGGAGAGCTACCGTTGTGGAAAAATGGCAATTGCAGTAGGAATAAATTCCATTTTCTGTTTACTAATCCCTGAGGGTCTTCTTTAGAACTGGATACACATCATCTATTGGTGGCAGCTGTGGGTCCTGATCTCCGTAGCAGAAGTTTGCTAAGCCTCAATTACATGAGTGAAAATGAAGATCCCCCTTGTCCCTGAAGGTTTGTTTATCTGTTGAGTTTTAGATCAGAATACTATGTGATGGCACATATTGAATTCTAATGTATTATCTTTATTCCTTATGTTGAAGAATAAATTAACAAAGAAAATATTTTCAGGAAAATAATGCATTGAACTTTTGAAAAAAAAATTATCTCAAACTGCAAAATTACCTGACATTACTTTCCAACAAAATGAATGATCTACTAAAGTGTAGAATCTGTGATATAGAACTAATCTTCTAAGTGGGTGGGTAGGTAAAAAGAAAGAATAATTTCTACCAGTATGGCTCTTATTAATGTTTCAGCCCTACACGCTAAGTTGAAAATTTATTCTTTATTATGTAGAGTCTTCTATTCAAAATCATTCAGTGAATCTTTCAGTTATTAATTGCACATGGGATTTGTTTTTGTGCTATGATAACTCCTCTGGAAATGAAGTTATAACACAGGCTATGTGAAAATTTACAAGGTGCTAATGAGCTTTCTTCAAGCACTACAAATTATTTAAGTAACTTAATGCTGTTGTTATTTTTACAGTGTCAGAGGAGTTTTCACACTAATGTGAAGCAGCCACACAATTTATTTCTCTGTTTTCAAACTTCCAAGTATAAATTGAAAACATAAGCATAATGTCAAACAGAATGGCATTAATTTATTTCTTTCAAATGTTTGTATGTTAAAAAGTATTTTTATTCCAGTGAAATATAATACATAATGATATAATTGATTTTGATCTTTAACAGTCTGAAATGTTTAGTACAGTATTGAGGCAGGGAATGTGTAATAGAATGTTGATATATTTTAATAAAATATTTAATTTCTATTCATTTCAGTTGGATGTACTATATTATAATTTGATCCAGGTGTATGTTTACACTAAAACCTCTCAATGATAACTGTGCTCATTCCATCACACTTGAAGGTCAATTTGATTCTTGTCTAATATGGGATGTAAACACTGGATAAGCATAATTCTCTATTATTTTAAGGAACCTCAGAAATGGAAAGCTAAGTCTAATTTGCAGTGGTATGCAGGGCTAAGGATTCTAGAGAAAGACAGAAAATTCCAAAGGATAAGCGAAAGTTGAGTTTTGAGCTCATGTGGGTTTAGCACTAGCTTTGAGCTCTTGAGGAGATTCACTTGTATGGTTGCAAACTTAACAGCTGAGAAAATTGGAAGGGGTGGAAAGGTGGACAAGATTTTTAAGATCTCATTTAGTAAAGATGTCACCCAGTAGAAATTTTAAAACCTGGACACACTTACTTTCTATTTCTTTAGTTACCTATGGTCAACAGCAGTCCAAAAATATTAAATGGAAATTTCCAGAAGTAAACAATTCACAAGTTTTATGTTGCACTCCATTCTAAGTACTGTGATGAAATCTCACACTGTCTCACTCATCCCTCCAGTCCTCCCTTTCTCTATCATAATCTCAGTGTATTTGCTACCTACCCGTTAGTCACTCAGTTATTAGATCAACTGACATGGTATTGCAGTATTTATGTTCAAGTAACTCTTATTTTACTTAATAATGTCCTAAAAGTGTATGCATAGTGGTGCTGACAATTCAGATATATCAAAGACAAGCCATAAAAGATTTCCTTTAAGTAAAATGGGTCATATCCCAAGGTTGCTATGATACACAGTAAGAACAATTCTTCTGTTTGTGAAATTGTGAAGAAGAAGAAATAAATTTGTGTTAGTTTTGCTGATTCACCTCAAATTGCAATAGTTATGGCCAAAGTGTATAATAAATTCCTAGTTAAAAACAAAAGGCATGGAAGGAGTGGAAGACATAAAAACAAACATATTACTATTGACAACAATTATGTTCGGTACTATCTGTGGTTTAAGGCATCCTCTGGGGGTCACAAAATTTATCCCTTTTGGATAAGGGAGGGCTACTGTAAAAAAAATAATAATTAGTTTAACACTGATCTTTTCAATGACTTACTTTCTGAAGTGATTTTCTACCTATGTGGCAATATATTTAACCCTTCTGAGAACAAGACTTAAGATCTGCCAGATTCAGGATTTAACTCCAGGTTCAATGCTTACTAACTGCAGGGCCCTGAAAAATTTACTCACAATCTCTAAAATTTAATTTTTTCCCCTTTGAGATGGGAAAAATAATAATGCATATTTCATCAGGTGGTTTTCAAGTTTTAAATGAGTTTAGCTGAGTGCCTGATACAGATTTCAGTTTCACTGAATTTTAATAGTTTATTACTTTTGCTAAATGATATGAATGACCTAAACCAGAATATAATATCATGTGTTATAATAATAAGAATTACATAAGATGATAGAAATCATTTATTGAGATTATAATATATGCTTATATAATTAACTCAGTCCTTTAGGTAAGTTTAATCATTTCAATAACTCTAGATAGAGATAATTAAGAGGCTGAGTAACTGGAATAAAGTCTTAAAATTAGGGAAAAATATTGTAAATTTAACCTCTAGTTAATGCGTTGAAGAGTTTTGATCCTTAAAAGTTGTCAGTGTTATCTAACATGCTTATTATTAACAAGAACATGTGCTAAGTCCTACCTTTAATTATCATTTTTAAGTCTTTAAACTACAGCTTCTTTATTTATAAGTAATGTGCATCCAGACCAGGTTTGGAGATGTTGAGCACACTAATTGGCTTCTTATTTTGTTTCGTTTTGTTTTTGTTTCTTCTGAGATGGGGTTTTGCTCTTGTTGCCCAGGCTGGAGTGCAGTGGTGCGATCTTGGCTCGTTGCAACCTCCACCTCCCGGATTCAAGCGATTCTCCTGCCTCAGCCTGCCAGGTAACTGGGATTACAGGAGCCCGCCACCACACCTGGCAATTATTTTCTTTTTTCTTTTTTTTTTTTTTTTGTAGAGACAGGGTTTCATTATGTTGGCCAGGCTGGTCTGGAACTCCCGACTTCAGATGATCCACCCATCTCAGCCTCCCAAAGTTTTGGGATTACAGGCGTGAGCCAATGCACCTGGCCAGATTCTTATTTTAAATCACGTTGGCAAGCATATGTGCCTTGTGCATTTCAGTTAGGGGTTTGGAAATATACCACAGAGCATCACTTTGCCTTGATATCACTGCTCTGTAAACAGATGGTAAATTCCTTACTGATTTCAATGAAGTGTATTTTTTTTTCCCAGAAACTTTGAAAATACTAAACATCCAGAAATTGTAGCCACATATACATGTAATGTTATGAAGAGAGCTATTGCAGGATCTGGTCAGCAGCCCGCAATGCAACGGGGCTCTCTCTTCGTTCCCAGGTAGATCGGCAGTTTGAAAAATAAGACACACAGAAGATAGTGAAAGCTGGGTCCAGGAGGGTCACCGCCTTCTGGTCCCATGGTGCCAACAATGCACTGGATATACCAGCATTTATTATTAAGTTTAGTGAGGGTGGGGGTAGGTTAGTGAGGGATTTAGGGTCATTTGATTATGAGGTGAGATGGTCACATGGGGATGAAGTAATTCTTTAACATAACATTTGTATGTAAAAATACAGTATACAGAGATAAGAATTTCCAATATAGTGTGTGTGTCAGTAATTTCTAACAGAGCCTTAAAACAGAAAAACAATCTTTCCATAACCTATGATTAGCAAGATATTAATCAGCAGTAACTGTTGCAACAAAAGCTGGTGACAAACAATCCATGGAAACAGGACATGAAACTAGACAACCGGTTAGACCAGAAATTCTCAGAAGGGAGTATGCCTTAACCCTAAAGAGGCCTAGAAGAGCCGCAGCAAGATGAGGGCGTTTATAGCCCTATCTTATCCATATGGACAGGCGCCCCCATGCGTCCGTTTATAGGCTCTCCACGTGGGTCGCGTTCCATTCCCAGAGCTATGAACATCTGCTTTTCTGGGATAGGAATCTTGGTGATGTGAAACCTCCCTGACTGCACGTCCATTCATAGGGTCTCTGCAGGGGGAAGCACATCACACACTGTGGGCTCGTTCTGGCAGTCCAACCTGGCATTGTCTTTACACAGTCCTGCATGCAATTTTGTATTTACAATAATCAGGAGCATTTTATCTTTTATTCTATAGCGATAGTTTCAGGGGGTCTCCCTACAGAGAGCAAAATAAATTTTTGATAATATAGGAAGTTTAACTTAGGTAGTTCCTGGACTGATGGATTTATTTTCTCTATGGTTTTCACACTGAATATATAATTGCTTCCTCCATTTAAGCTAGGTTTCAATAAAGACACCTCTAATTTATAATGTACCTTTTAATTGACTTAGTTAACTCTGATTATATAACTGCAAATTGGCAGATGTAAAATTTATTTAAATGGTGTTTCTCAAATTTCAGAATAGAAGCATTTCTGTTTCCTTCAACCATACAATTTAAAATCAAGAAAACATGCAAATGTTAAATTGGGAGGTTGGAGTTTGCCAGTATATTTATTTGATTTTAACAAAAAATGTAGCTTTGCATATAAAGTGCATGCATTTCAATTCAATAATGACATAAGTAGGAATAACAGAGATGATTAAAAATGCTACCTCAATTCCATATTCTAAGTATATCTTTATACCTCCAATTGGCTCTATGCTTTTTTATATCCCATCATCTTTAGTGATAAATGACCATAAAATTTTCACACCATAAAGGAGTTTCAAAATTATAGTTTCAAGTGTTTTTTGCATAGCTTCAAAATATAAAAACCAGAAAATTGAATACAATTTTCCAAACTGGTATGGGTAATGGAAAAAGAAATCCCACCCTGATTTCATTAAGATTAAATGCTGTTTCCACCATACAATAAATTGTCTTTACAATTTGCCAACTAAGTAAAAAAAAATTCTATTATATTCTAATATTAAAGCCACCTCATATGCTACTGTCTTCACAGGGACAATAAAACAATGACATTCTATTTTGTGTTTCTGTTTACTGAAGATAATTGTGTTAAAACAATAGGTAATGATGGATATTTTAGAAGGATATATAAATCAAACACACAGAGAACTTAATGTGGAAGTATGTATGTTTACATGTACACACTTATCTACATATAGTCATTAAACACTTGGATTTGCAAGGACTACACAAATAAACATATGTGCCCTTGAAAAAATCATAAGAGGCTGTGAAATAAGCTTTTGTGTAAGAATTAAGTCTATATACTACACTAGTGCTTATTTAAGATCCATTAATGTGACATCTTAGTTGAAGATCATTTTGTTGTGGAAAGAGATTTCTATTGTGGTCAGAGCCCATGATAGAAGGAAAAAAAAAATACTCAATACTGCAGGGGTTTCAGTTCCTTCTCAAATTCTACCTTATAATGTTCATGATATATTCTTATCTTCATGCACTATGATGTATAGTGTTGCCATTAACTTATAAATTATATCGCCAGACATTTTGGAGAAAACTTAAATTTATTTTGAACTATTTCAAGAATATAAAATGAATAAAGAATACAAAAAATTCTGTCTCCACTATTAACAAATAAAGCTTAAAACAGAGTTGAATCATTCCTACATATTTTACTGATTGTATTCTTCTTCCACATAGAGATATTTACATTTCTGAATTTATATTTATCACCCCTTTACATTCTTTATATTTTACTTCATATGTATGCACTCTGAAACATTGTGACTAAACTAGAACTATGTATATGAATATAAATTAATTTTAAAAACATAATTTTTATGAAATATTAAAAGAAATAAGTTGGTGAAAAACTAAGTAGCATATATAACAACCATTACATGAAGTTTTATTCAGTTTTATGTCTACCTATAAACATTGTGTAATTCTCTATGTCTCTAGTAGTTTCTTCTACATATAGTTTGCTAAACAATACATAAGATTTTCTTAACAAATCTTGACCCCACCAACTTCCACTCACTAGTAGAGTCTTATCAACTTGATTCTATAACCGAGGGACCGTGATCAATCTACCTAATTACTATATTCATTATATCAGATCCCTTGGAAGCAACTAATACTTTCTTTCTGTCTCCTGACATCTGATATTGCCACATAACATCTAACAGCTTTATTTATCAAGAGATACCTTAGTTCTGAGGGTCTGTTTTTTTTTTTCAGTGTCATCATTCATATAAACCTTTCATTCTTTTTTTTTTGAACTGCTGATATTTTATCACTGTATCACTATCTGGCAGAAACCTAGAAGGTCTTTTAAAACTTCATACACATTACACTGATATAAAATATAGCATATAGAATAATAACTGCTCATCAATAGCATTTGACGTCAGGATCTATTTTAATTAAGACTCACATTTTCTGATACATGTGAAACAAACATACTTCTCTGTTAAATGGACTGCTTAATACTTTTACACAAAGATCTTCATAAAGTGTGAGAGACCATTTAAGTATAATAATAATCTGGGTTGCTGCCATTTTTCTTCCTCTTTTTATCACAAAAGGCAATCTGTGCAATCCTGTATTATAGAAGGACATAGAGCATAGAGAGAAAAAAAATTAAATTAATTACATATTCTAAGCAAGATTAGAAAGCAGTAATAACCCAAAGAGAAAGATAAAATACCACTGAATAGTGGAATTCTAAAAACCGTAAAGACATTTCACATTAGAATTAAATTACATAAAAAACAAAGTTACCCCTAGCCCTTATCAAAAGTTCCTGTGTCTTGTGAGAGCAGAAACAATCACATCAGACACATATATTGAGAAAATGTAATGAAGAGCAATGAAACTTAATTGAAGTGCTTTTGGCCATTAGGGTCAGGCCTTCAGTGGATTAGAGGCACATACTATTAGGCACTGCTCTTGCTATTTCCATTTAATGTCAGTTTAATGTAGGTGCACGCACTGGTCTTCTGCTCCAATTAAATTAGTCAAAGTTATATTTTGAAATGTTCCAATACAGAGTTAACCTTGGGGAAATATACTAATAATATTAGAAGATGATATATTTTAAGAAATATTTTACTAAAAGAAATAATTGCATTATATTAACAATCTGTTATTTCACTGGAATAAATTATATTGGCTTTCAACATGTCTACATTTAAATATTTCATCTGCCTTATTCATCCTGAAGTTACACACACACACACTCAACAAGTATCACCTGTTTGCACCTGTATAATGAAGGTTAGATCTTTTCTTCTTTTCTTCAAATATTTTTTTCTGTTCTTTGACCTGAAATAAGATTTATTCTCTTGTGAATTTATCTAGTCATTCCAGTTGTAGCAGTTGCCTATTTGAATAGATAGCTTGAGGTCAGAACTTCACACCAGGAGAGCCTCAGAGGACAATGTTTTCTTTCACTGTGTCTCTCCACTGGGACATGACTGTCACCCTCATAAGTAATAAATAAACAAATACCAGATATTGCTAAAATTGTGAATTGAGATATGTAAATAATCAAGTAGAGATTAAATAGCAGAACAAATGTGATGCATATAAATAAATATGTTATTGATTTTCTTCCAAATATAAAATTGACAAAAGTTATAAAATTAATAGGTGAAATAAAAAGTGGTGAATTATTGGCCTTCTTTCTAATATGTGATTGTAGAAAATCACATAGATATTTAATAATTCCTATTGTTTTCAAATAACTCTGGACATTTATTAACACTCTTATGTTTAAGACTCCCCACACACTCACATATAGAGCAATAGTGCTTTGCTATAAACTCTGAAAAGTTTGAGGTAACTTATGAAGAGCAAATTTCATGAGTTACCAAAAACAATGAAATAAGATGAAGGAATTGATGTTATTCTTCAGATGCCTTAGCCTTTACCCTTGCTGTTCATTTTTATCAAAATCCAGATGTCAAAAACTTTAGTACTTTGCAAGAGAAACTCATAGTTGAAGATGATCTTGACAGACTGTAACATGTGCATAATATGACTTGTTTATGGTTTAAAAGAATAAATATATAGACTTACTAATACAGGCTAATTGATATGACAAAACACATGAGAAAGCAAAGTCCCTGTGATTTAGAATTAATGAAAATACTATTGATGGATAGTTAGGTTGATTCCCTGTCTTTGGTATTATAAATAGTGCTGCAATGAACATGCAGGTGCATGTGTTCTAAAATAGAATAATTTATATTCTACTGGGTATATACCCAGTAACGGGATTGCTGGGTTGAATGCTATTTCTGTCTTTAGGTGTGTGAGGAATTGCCACACTCTATTGTGAGAGCTAAATGATGAGAGCACATGGATACATAGAGGGGAACAACATGCACTGGGGCGGTTCGGAAGGTGGAGGTGGGAGGATGGAGAGGATCAGGAAAAATAACTAATGGGTACTAGGCTTGATAACTGGGTGATTAAATAATCTGTACAACAAAATCATATGAGACAAATTTTCCTACATAACAAACCTGCACTTGTACCCTCAACTTAAAGTAAAAGTTAAAATAAATAAGAATAAAATACAAAAAACAATAATGAAAATAATATTGAGACTCCCTAGGAGCTCTAGTTACAGATACAGCACATACAACTCTGTATGTAATTTAAACAAAATAAGAATACAATCACAAAATTCACCACTTGACAAGGACTATTAGGTATAAAAAGACAAATATTAATTTTAATTAAGAACTAAATTTCTAGAAAGATACATTTATTATAGTTTAATATTTTATTTTCAAAGAAAGAATTATTATACTGAATGATAAACCTAAAGACACTGGAAATATTCACCCAAAAAGAAAATGTATAAAAGAGATAGTACAGATAATATTAGGCAACAATGAAATTTGAAAAATAGCATAACATAGGGAAAACAATAAATGCAGTTTGTTCTTTGAAAAAAAATAAGAGAGAAAAATCTCTGGCCAGACTGACAAGAAAAAAACAGGCTCACATAAAAATAATATTAGTAATGATAAAGCAAAGATAACTGCATTTAAAAATGAGAGTACTGTATTATAGTAATAACTTGAGGATTTTGATGAAATACCAGAATTCTTAGAAAAAATAGAACTTGCATCTGAATCACAAAACATCTGAATACCCCTATAAAATTGAAATAATTAAAATATTTCTTATGAAACTACAAGAAAAACACCAGGCCCAGTGATTGCCAACATAAAGGTCTATAAGGCATTCCTAGAGTATAACATTCTAATGATATCCAAATATTTTAAAGTAATATACAAAGGAATATCTTCTATCTCATTCAGTGAAGCCATATCACCTACGTACCAAAAGATGACAGGAATATTATCAGATAGGTATAGTGAATTTCTTCATCAACAAAGCTCCCAATATTTTCCATAAACTGTTAATGTCCAACTCTAGCAGTATATTAAATGGTAATTCAACATGAAAAGTTGATTTATCCTGGGAACTGGCAACGGGAGGTGAACAAGCAAAATATATTAAAAAAACTATTCAGTACATTAACGGAGTGAAGACAATAAAGAGAATACAAGATAGATGGATTCAGAATAAGTATTCTTCAAGTCTGACATGTCTTCATAATATAAAAACCATCTTAAAAAACTAGAAAACAAAGATAATTTCTTTGTCATGCTAAGGATTACCTGCAAATATCTTATTGCATATCATCAATCAATGAGGAAATGTTGGGAAAATTCTTTTAAAATAAGGAATAACACAGGGATCTCTGCAATCAAAGCTTACCTTTCACATTGTCCTGATAATTCTAATAAGCACACTAAAACATACAAAATAAATTAATTCTATAAAGATTGAAAAAAGTAATAAAAACACATTATTTCCCAAGATATCATGATGGGCTGTCATAGAGAAGTCCCCCCCCAAAAAAATTTGCAGGTGCATTATTAGGAAAAATTGACAAGGTATATAGCTATAAAATTCATAAAAAGAAAATAAATTGTGCTTCTATACATGTACTTTCCATCTGTTTCTCAACAGCCAATGTTGTGTGTAGCATATAAAAATTACCTTGTCTATCAAAGATAACTTTTGCCATCTTTATAAGTCTTGCTGTTATATGTCATTGGCCTAACGAACTATATTTTTTTAGATTTTACTAATTGCATCTCACAAAGGGTATTTTGTTTACTTATTTTTAATGATTCCACTTTAAAATTTCATGTGTATTGTAAAAGAATAACTGAAGAGCAGAAGTAAATTTTTGTTATGTTTAGAAACATAAAACATCTTATTAATCATGCTTTAGAAATAACCTATTTATTATTAATGTGTTTATTTTGATTTTATCCCAAATCCTTTCATCCTTCTTTTGGCTTGACAAGGATTTAGCCTTGTCATTTACAGTTGGGACAGTTTAGTTTTGAGAATATGCACATTTCACACAAGTCTGAGCTGAAGGAAAATATCCTCAAGCACTTCTGAGAATAAATATTTTGCGTGGTAGATAAATGCATTGTCCAATGGTGTTCATACTCTCTAGTCAGTTTTCAGATACATACGTGTGATAGGAAGTTACACATAAAGCAACAAGCTATCTCAGAGGGTTAACACATCATTACAATGGGCATTCTACAACACACAATATATGAACGTAACCCTGAGATGAGCAAAAAATATAAAGAGTCCATGGCTCAGTAGTTTCTGGGGCATACTGCAGCCTTTACTGAGTAAGGTGTACAGTTCCTACCTGCAGGACTTTGGGAACATATAGATATGCATGCTATCTTTGGCTGTAGGATGATAGTACTTAGCATAAATTAAGATAATATTAAAGCCATGTAGTGAGCCAACAGAACACATACAGGAAGGCTGCCAAATATGGAGTCAATAATAAGATAAGAGGATGTGTGCAGTAGCTCATGCCTGTAATCCCAGCACTTTGGGAGGGCAAGGTGGGTGGATCGCCTGAGGTCAGGAGTTCCAGACCAGCCTGGCCAACATGGTGAAACCCCGTCTCTACTAAAAATAGAAAAATTAGCCAGGCGTGGTGGCATGCACCTGTAATCCCTGCTACTTAGGAGGCTGAAACAGGAGAATCACTTGAACCCAGGAGGCAGAAGTTGCAGTGAGCCGAGATGGCACCACTGCACTCTAGCTGGGGCAACAGAGCAAGACTCCATCTCAATAAATGAATAGATCAATAAATCAATCAATAAATAAAACAAGATATGAGGCACAGTTCTGAGACATACTGGTATTGTGCATTTTATTCACAAGAAGGAATGAATGCAAGTCAAATTCATTTAAAAGAATAGATTCATCACTTCAGCCACATCATTTTCTAGGTTCAACTGAACCTAGAAATAAAAGTAGAAGAGTTATTAGGATTTTTTACTCAGTTGGAATTAGATAATCAGAAATGAATTAGTATCGAATGTAAAAAGTTGAGACCAAATATAAATTGCTTCAGTCATTATCTAAACTAGGGAAAATACATATTTTATAAGACCTACTGGTGAGGTTTGTGTTACTCAGGCTATGGAAAGAAAGGGAATAGAGAGGCCAGACTAATGACATAGGTTCTTTTCATATTATTTTAAAAACAATCCCATTTGATATTAGTTTATAGATAGCTATCAGCTCCATCCACTAAAGATGTTTGTAAGAAATAAAAGTAAAATAATAATATCATGAACTCAGAAAAAATAGAGCAGAAGTAGATACATCCTTATCATACAACCATTGAATATTAAATGTACTTCTTTTAAAACTTCCTATATGGAATGATTTTTGATATTGTACCTATTTCCTATTAGTCTACACTATTAGCTTTTTACATAAAGGGGCTGTTAGAAAACAATTAAGCGTAGAAACAAAGATCAATTTATAATAAGATTTTGAAACTACCCAAAGACCTTTTATTATTTTATTTTATTTTATTTATTTTTTGAGACAGAGCCTTGCTCTGTCACCCAGGCTGGAGTGCAGTGGCATGATCTTGGCTCACTGCAGCCTCCACCTCATGGGTTCAAGCGATTCTCCTGCCTCAGCCTCCTAAGACCTTTTATTTTTAACAATGTAGAATGAATAGAAGAGAGGGGCTGCTGTTTTAAATGCCATAAATCAGTTTGGGGATTTTATAATGTCTGTGGGAAATGAATTCAATTTAAAGTACTAACATGATCATGGTGGATAAGCTTTTTGATGTGCTGCTGGATTCGGTTTGCCAGTATTTTATTGAGGATTTTTGCATCGATGTTCATCAGGGATATTGGTCTAAAATTCTCTTTTTTTGTTGTGTCTCTGACAGGCTTTGGTATCAGGATGATGCTGGCCTCATAAAATGAGTTAAGGAGGATTCCCTCTTTTTCTGTTGATTGGAATAGTTTCAGAAGGAATGGTACCAGCTCCTGCTTGTACCTCTGGTAGAATTCAGCTGTGAATCCGTCTGGTCCTGGACTTATTTTGATTGGTAAGTAAATAATTATTGCCTCAATTTCAGAGCCTGTTATTGGTCTATTAAGAGATTCAACTTCTTCCAGGTTTAGTCTTGGGAGGGTGTATGTGTTGAAGAATTTATCCATTTCTTCTAGATTTTCTAGTTTATTTGCGTAGAGGTGTTTATAGTATTCTCTGATGGTAGTTTATATTTCTGTGGGATCGGTGGTGATATCCCCTTTATCATTTTTTATTGCATCTATTTGATTCTTCTCTCTTTTCTTCTTTATTAGTCTTGCTAGCGGTCTATCAATTTTGTTGATCTTTTCAAAAAACCAGCTCCTGGATTCGTTGATTTTTTCGAAGGGTTTTTTTGTGTCTCTATCTCCTTCAGTTCTGCTCTGATCTTAGTTATTTCTTGCCTTCTGCTAGCTCTTGAATGTGTTCACTTTTGCTTCTCTAGTTCTTCTAATTGTGATGTTAGGTTGCCAATTTTAGATCTTTCCTGCTTTTTCTTGTGGGCATTTAGTGCTGTAAATTTCCCTATACACACAGTTTTAAATGTGTCTCAGAGATTCTGGTATGTTGTGTCTTTGTTCTCATTGGTTTCAAAGAACATCTTTATTTCTGCCTTCATTTTGTTATGTACCCAGTAGTCATTCAGGAGCAGGTTGTTTAGTTTCCATGTAGTTGAGCTGGGATGCAAGGCTGGTTCAACATATGCAAATCAATAAATGTAATCCAGCATATAAACAGAACCAAAGACAAAAACCACATGATTATCTCAATAGATGCAGAAAAGACCTTAACGGGTGAAGCACACCAACATGGCCCATATATACCTATGTAACAAACCTACACATTGTGTACATGTACCCTAGAACTTAAAGTATAATGAAGTATATAAAGTATAATAAAAATATATATAAAATAAAAATAAATAAATAAATAAATGCAGCTTTGTTAGCAATGACAAAAAAATAAAGTACTAACATGTAGAAAAAATTATTTCAAGTCCTCTTATATTTGAAATGAGTAACAGTGTTTATAAACTGTCACTATTTACTATATTTTTATGTTTTTTTGTGTTCACAAATAATTAAAATTCAAGAGCTTGACATTCATAAAAATATAAATATTTACCATTTAGACCAGTCAATCTCTGTAATAAAACTAGTCAACCAGAGTTCATATTTATTTCTATTGAATGGAAACTAAAAACAGCAATAGAAATAGAAAAATATATCCTTTTTGATAAAGAGCTTAAAACTTTAATCTCATCAAGAAAATTTCTTAAACTGATTAGTGAAATAAGGTTTTCTGTTCAGTAATAAATTCTCCTTTCAACTCATAGAAGAAAGTTAAATAATTCACCTGAATAAAGAAAGCACTTCTAAGTTCAAAAAGTGTGCTTCATAATAGCTTTCTTTAACTAAAGCGTTGTTCCTTCTAAAAGGGAGAAATATCTGTGATGCATTTTTCTTTCTCAGAGACTTATACTACATTTTTATTGACAAGAGCATACCGATTTTTCTAAGTATATTTTTTCATTTACCCAAAGGGAATGAATCTATTGTTCTACATTATTCATATTATCAATAACATGTAAATACCATGTTATTTTATTAATCAAGTATGCTTACCTGTGATTCATCTGTTTATTCATTAATTTCATTAAATTACCTATAATTTCCTTGTTGTTAGAGACCTACTTTTTTACTTATGTTTTTTTCTTGTACTGATTTCAATTTGAGAAGATATAAATATGAAGTTGATTGTTTTAAATATATAAATAGGAAATGTATACATACATAGGTAGATATAAATATGGGGGATGGCAAATCATCCTCCCATATAAACCATGCTATTGTAGTGTGTGTCTTGACTTCCTGTATTGTTGAAAAAATATCTCAAATGACATTTAATTATTACTTTCTACACTTTTTTAAACATATTATTTTGTCATTTTTTGATCTTTTAAAAATATTTTGACTGGACATAGTGGGTCACACCTGTATTCCTAACAATTTGACTGGCTAAGGCAAGTGGATCCCTTGAGCCACAGGAATTCGAGACCAACCTGGGCAACATGGCAAAACCTTGCCTCAAGAAAATATACAAATATACAGAAACATGTGCACTCCTTTGGTTCTAGCTACTTTGGAGGCTTAGGTAGGAGGATTGCCTGAGCCCAAGAGGTCGAGGCTGCAGTGAGCTGTGATCAGGCCACTGCACTTCAGCCTGGGCAACAGAGACAGACCCTGTCTCCAAAAACAAAACAAAACAAAACAAAACAAAACAAAACAAAACAAAAAACAAAAAAAACTGCATATATGTACAAATATATATATATATTCTTAACACACAGTCTTCTTAAAAATGGGTTTTCAAATATATGCTTATAATTTAAAATGCATTTGTCCTGTAAATAATATAACCCAAAGTATACTATATAATGAATGCAGACATCAATTATAAATTAACCAGATTTATTTTTTTCATGCTCAACAACTCCACATTCATTCATCCTATAAACCATTTATGCAAAAATATATAATATATATTGAATGCAGCTCTATACATTTTCCTAATTAGTGCATGTTTAATTTATCAGGTTTGAATACAAAGCCTCATGACTTTAATTTTTAAGTAAGTTAAACATGGTTTTTATATTTCCATTAACTTCAACATACAATGATACTATATTTAAAAGTTTATTGAATTTTGTAACAAAATCAATGAGTAATTCACATTTACTTAATTACTTTCTTCAGAAGCAGTAAACTCTTCATTAACTAAGGGGTTATGGTTTATGTAAAACACTATAGATTCATTTCAATTTTTATAAAATGTTAAATAGGTACACATAAAACTTTTACAGAATTTGAGCCACAGTCAATATTTGCTTCACCTAACTTTGTAATTCAGCTCTATGCTAGATAAATTATCTTGCTCAATAATACTCGAAATAAACTGCCATTACTAAAATCTGTTGAGAACCTACTGGCTTTAAGTATCTAATTCTTTACCTGTTGGGTCTATCTGAAAAAGCAATGTTCATATTGAGTTGAAAACATATTTATCAGACTCCTGATATGTACCTGGAATTATCTACCCTTGACACTGAAGAAAAGTTGCTGAATAAAAAAGACAAATTCTTGTCATATTAGAGACTAGATTTCGAGCAGGGAGAGAAACAAATACACATACACACTCATACAAATATGGCTCAAAAATACAGCAGCATTAATTCTAATAATGATAAGCACAATAATGCGATAGAGGGAGTGTAACAATAGGTGTTCTATATTCATGTGAGCAAAGGAAGATCTCAGATATGATGGCATTTGAACTAACACCTAAAGGATGAGAAGGAGTCAGGCATAGAAGGAAGGAAAGAAAGAGGAATATGGCAGAAAGAAAAATTAAGTGCACAAGTTCTAAAGCAGAAGCGAGTATGATGTATTTGAGAAACTGAAAGAAGACCAGAGTGGCTGGATCATGATGAGAGATAAGAGTTGAATTCAAAGAATTTGGAGAATACAAGCTACAATCAAACTAATCCATGTGTAAATACAATGTTAGAGACCAGCTTTTACAAATACATAGAAACATAAAGAAGTATGTTTCTCAGTAGAAACAAGGTCTCTTGTGTAGGATAAAGTTAAATGACTTGAACAGGCTAACATTACTAACAAATATACCCCTCAATGTGTAATGTTTCTAGACTATAAACTTATTCTCAATCAAGTATCCAGATCAAGGAATGTACAGGTTGGAGGAAGTGCTCAGTTCTATGTAGTAATTCAATAGCAAAATGTCAGTGACAATACAACTTCAATATGTCTCCTGGAAGAATTTCCTAGTCATCAACGTTCATGTGGCAGAGGGAAAGAGCATAGAAGACCATGGGTGGAAAGTTGTTTTATGTGTCTAAAAGCTCATAGGTTACATTCATTTGCCTCTACTTGAATATAACTCAGTTGCATGGCCGCTCTCAACTGGAAGGAAGGCTGGGAAATACAATCTAGGGAGAAGTACAAATGATGTTTTAATAGACCCTGCCACCGTGCGGCAGTTCTAAATTTGAGATCATGTCATTCCTGTATTTATTAAAGGGACTTTGCTTCCTTATTGTTTGGGCAGTAGGCAGGACCTGTAATCTACTTCAGTAAATTATATGTAAGTTGTTTTTAGCTGATACTTATAGTTTATGATAGCTAATAAAACAACAGTATTTTAAGTAGTTCTTGTCTGACAGCTACATGAATACTATATATTTAGTGATTTAAGACAAAAAAAGAATTACAAGCCTGGTATAGAGAATGATTATTTTGTTCATACAGTATAACAAACAATATGTATCTCGAAATTTGAGTTAGCAAGAAGAAATATTCATACACTAAAATGCCTTCCCTGGAATTTTGATGAAAATCAGACTAACTGTGCATGTACAAAAGAAATATGTACTTAAAGCTTGACCTCTTCATGATCTTCAGCAACTACTTTGAACCACCTATGGTCTAAATTAAAGCGACCATCAACTCTAGAGAAATTTCTAATTATATTTGTGCATTGTCTGAATTTTAATGCATCTGAATGCACCTTCCATCAGCATTTCAGAGTCAGTGCTCTAGCCTGTCATCTGAGAAGACACTTTTCTATGTTGTTCGTCAGTCCCCATAAATATATTGATTTGGAGAAATTATCTGTGTTAAATGCTTTAGATGATATTTAATATAGCCACTCCTCTATGTGATTTTTTTGTCTGTCCTTGAAAGCCAAACCACACAGACATAAGCTCACTGAGCTTTACTTTAGCATTCAGCACTTGGTTGTTGTCTAAAGAAGTTAAACTATCCAGCCATTTGAAATCTGTGATTTCATTATCTGCATGAAGACTGCAGAAAAAAGTATCACTCTGTGCTCTTAAGACAGAGCCTCAGGTGAAGATTTAAGTTCATATTGCTTTTAGAAGAGGTATGCAAGGCACAATTCACATCCCCTAAGGAATCAATGTTCTTTCTCTTTCTGATGATGATAATCCCATAAGTGACCACATGGTACTGTTTCCTCTTGCTTGCTTTTAAAAAAATAAGCAAATAATTAGAAACTAATTTATGGCCTATGAATTTGTGGTCTTCATTTTCTTTGTTATATTTATCTCATACTTTTTTGAGACTAATGCTTTTTTTATTTCTATTATAACTTCCTTTGGCATTCTTACTATTATTTGTCTCAATGCTTTCTTAAAAAGATTAAGAGCTGCACAAATAAAAATGTTACAAACTCTAAGTTTTTCTGAGGCAATTGTTGAAGGTGGGAGTTCAACAGAATTGCTCAGGGCTCTCATCACTCCACATGTCTATCGGTACTATAGCCTGATTTTATGTTCCTCCAAAATGTATATGTCGAAACTCCAACCCCCAATGTGATGATGTTAGGAGATAGGGCCTTTGGGAGTTGACTAGAGGCCAAGAAAGTGAAGCCTTCATGAATGGGATTAACTCTATATAAAGGGATGTAGAGATCAGAGTTCTGCCCTTCTGCCATGTGAGGACACAGTCAAAAGATGGCCATCTATGAACCAGAAAGAGGGCAATACTGAATTTGCCAGTGCCTTGATCTTGGACTTCCCAGACTCCAGAACTGTGAGAAATATGTATCTGTTGTTTATAAATGACCCAGTTTATCTTATTTTGTTATAGCAACCTGAACTAACACAGTGGACAACAACACTTACTTGGATGGATACTTTATTATTGTTTCTATTCAAACTTATTTGAGGATTTACATGGCAAGTTGTATCTCCATATTGCTCTGCTCTATATGTATTAAAAGAACGCAAAACCATTTCCTGGAGTGGATGAGAGAGCTGTCTCTAATCATAATTTTACTGTTTCATGTCTGTGATGTCCTACCTTGTACTAATGTGCAAATACACATATATGACTGTTGTCCTTGGGTTTAAGCAAATCTAAAGATTTTTCAAACAAAAGAAAGAATAGACAAATTAAGAAAGTCTAGAAAGAACTTTCAATTGTAGAGCCAAAAAGGAGAACCAAAATTGTTTGAAGTAGGTTTCTTTCAGCATTGATGAAATGCAGACTCTTCTGAATTTCTCTTTCTTAAATCATGTCTCCTGTCAAACTCTTAGAGCCACTGAAGTCCTGAAAAAATTCTGGAACTACTGAGCACTCAGTATCTCAAATACCTGCTAAGAAAGCACAGGCTGGGTATTTATGCATCAGGAAGCTTGAAAAGGGGGCAAATTTAACAATATCCATATAGTGATTTACATTTTACAAGTTGTTTTTACATAGAATATCTCATTTGATTCAGGGAAAAAAGAAAACAATAAAAATGAATGAATGAACAAAGAAACATTATGAGATGAAGAAAGAAAAGCAGAATTAGTCTTTGGATTTTATATTAATAGTTGTGGAATTTGAATGTCAGAGAGGTTAAATAACTCCTCAGGATTCCATGGTTGAACAACACTATACTAGATCAGTCTATAGATAGATCGCCTCATTCAAGACCTGTGTATAGTTTTGTAATTAAGCTAATTACTTTTCCAGTTCCCCATGTCTGAACACACATGAAAGATTAAATCTAGCTAGACTTACCCTGATAATTTTAGTAAATAATAGTGTCAGAATTGCATTGCAGTTTTAATTTTAGGTCACATTAAAGAAGTCATTTGCTTAAAAGTCCCTATATTTTTACTGGAAGATTATAAACATTAATGTTTGGAAGAGTATAGTGCAAAGTTAACTTTCATCTTGGTTTTCAAAGTTGTATTATCTACTATTAGTATCTACTACTAGTATCTATGTTCCAGGTCTCTTTGCTTGATTTTATCTGTTTGCTTTTCTAGACCAGAAAACAAGAATTTTCATTTTAATATTAAGACAAACTTTTAAGTAATATGTCAAAAGAGAAAATACTCTGGTCTAATGTGCAAAAATAGTACTCTGCAGCAAATTGCTTTATTTTCATTTTTCATTACATAAAATAGGAAAAGTAGATTATGTGCTTGAGAAGGAAAGAAGACATTGGAATACTAATATTTGAATGAATAATTTCATCTTGAGGAATATTGCTAGGAAAAATATTAATAAATATTAATTTTCCAATTTTCCTAAAGATTTGTGTGCACGCAATTGTCAATTTGTGAATTACTTATAAATAGCTATAATTTCAAATATTCACTGATATAATTGTGTCTGGCTGCAGTAAACTTGCATATAGTACTCTGTGTATCCCTCATTCATCATGAAGCATGTCAAATGCAATGAACACTAGAGCATAGCTGGCTTGTGGAAACTTCTTTCCCTTTCTATGCTTCACTGCTTTCTGTCTTGACCCAAGAAAGAATACCAGCATTTTAACATCACAATTAAACTATCAAACAATACAAGTTATATCACTAATCAAGTTGAGGGAGAAAAAAGAAACTATTGTTATTTTGCTTTATAATCAAAACTGATATTTTTTAGGAAATTTATGAACCACTTTAGCAATATTCATTAAATTCCATAAAATAATTATTATGAAGTGTAGGAGGCCCCGATTTTAAGTAATATAAAAAGTTTGTATTTCTCAGCAAAACACTTTCACTAAGAGCAAGATCTAAGAATTAAAGATGAATAAGATATAGTTTTAAATTACATTCACTATACAACACTTAAGATGTCTACATCAGGTGAGAAACATTTGAATTTTCCCTTTTATGACATAAATGCTGTTGGGTAAATATAATTAAAAATAAAATTTACTCCCACCCTAGAAAACCTCTCTGCAAATGTAGAAGTAAAAGAAAACAACTTTTATAACTGAATAGGTATCAAAACAGAATGTGATGTTCATCACAGACAATCTGCTAAGGGAATGCAAAGACAGGAATAAATACTATTATTTTGCATAGTGAAGCAGATCTAATCCATTACATATGTGTTCTCAAGATAAACAATAACTAGTGCTCAAATAAGAGGCCCCGACAGCACCATTTAACACACAAAGGTCATTCTATAATCAACTGGTCATTGAAATGGCCATCTGTGTTTGTTAATAGGCTAATCCAAAATTAATAAATAAATCAACTTTTCACATCCTTCTCATGAGAGAATTTTACATCTTGGAGTGAAGCACCCACTGAGTTAGGCTCCTTCCTTCACAAAAAACTGGGATATAGAGGCATTATCTTTCTTGATGACTACATTTCAAAGAGAAGATTCCCAAGACCTGGAGAAAGATATTCTTGGGTTTTAAACCTGACAGGAAGCTTATTTAACTTTTAAAAAGATTTCCATACATTTCAAAAAGACAAAAAAAAAAAACTTAAAACTATAAGTAATATAAAATAAATGCTATAGGAAAGGGGGGAGTCTCTTCTCTTATTTTAAATATAAATAATTAAGCCTCTTATTTTTTTATTTGTTAGGTTTTATATTCCACATAGATTATGTATCTGTAGAGTGATTAAGTTTTCAATACATTCTACTAAATCATGCCATATGATAAAAAGCTAATTTTTAGGCCACTTTTCTCATAGGCAAATTTTTTTTGGAAATACATTATCTAATGTTACTAATAAGTACTATTCGTTATTAGTAACTACTAGCAACTTTAATAACTATTCAAAACTCAGTGACGGTGGGGGAAAGAGGTGTCATGCAGCATATCAGTGGATGTTGCTTTCAGTAGGCAAATGGAAGCATCATAATGAATCTGCCCTTTTATTATTAAATAACATGCTTTCCTCTGAGACCCTTTAGGCTATTATGCTATTTAAATGATCTGATTTCCTCATCATCTTCTTGGACACCTTGCAGTCTGTTTACGTATGTATATATGCATAAGCATTCAGTAATTACTAATGAAGTTCAGTATCTTTTCATTCATTTCCCAGAAAGGAGGAGGGGAGATTTACATTGAGCTGGACTTATCAAGCCCGAACATGATAGACATTCATACTATTTTTGAAGAGAATAGTTGTTTGCTTTAAATTTATAATTCAGTTACTTTCCAAAAGTTAAGCCTGCAGTGATGTAAGTTTACTATCATAATTAAATTGAATTCACTATGTGCTAAAAATTTTGGATTTTAATGAAAACTTCAGGAAGGTTATGATTCAGGACTTCAGCTTTAAAGGATATATTAGTTAAGTTTAAAGATTGAATGACATCTTCATCTATATGTGTTGTGTGTGTGTGAAATTAATGTCTGTGTATATACATATATAGGTAAAATTACCTATCTATAGGTTAAAAATTATATATATATGGCTAGTCTCTTATCCGTAGGTTATCAATGTCTCTTTAAAACTCACAGTTTATTCAATACAGAAGTTTATCACTTTACAAAAGAGACAATGTATTTGAGGCATTACTTTTTATGATTGTTGCTACGTCCTTCAAACTTTGAAACAGTAACTACTGTTGATTAAATTTCCTGATTTCTAATTTTAGATTACACATAGCGTTGAGATAAAAATCAGATAATTTGTAGCCCCATTGCCTAGAGTCCTAGTTCCAATAATTATTAGCTGTATGACCTTGCGCAAGTTAAGCTCTATGTCTCGGCTTCCTCATCTCTAAAATGAGTATAACAATCATAGTTTCCTCATAGGTAGTTGCAAGAGTTCAGTAAGTTACTACACATAAGAAGGGAAAGTGTAACTACTAAAGGGATTGTGGGGCATGATCCTAACCTCTATGTCTAAAGTTCTTTTCTCTCCTTTAAAAAAATAAAAATTAAAAATTAAAAAAGGCCAATCTTTGGTAATTGGTAATCACATGTTCTTTAATTTTAATTGGCTATGAATTAGAATTCTATTTTCTTCATCTCAAAGACAATACAAAACAAATATTTTTATTGCATATCATGGGTGAAAGTATCTCATAAATTGCAGATATATTGACGGCATATGACAACAATAACAAGATTGCACTAAGATATCAAAATGTAATTTCCTGTATTCTTGACTTAAAATTATAGTTTTAAAATATTTGATTACAGAACACTTTATTTATATGAATTCTTTTTTTTTTTTTTTTTTTTTTTTTTTTCTCGCTCTGTCGCCCAGGCTGGAGGGCAGTGGCGGGATCTCGGCTCACTGCAAGCTCCGCCTCCCGGGTTCACGCCATTCTCCTGCCTCAGCCTCCCAAGTAGCTGGGACTACAGGCGCCCGCCACTACGCCCGGCTAATTTTTTGTATTTTTAGTAGAGACGGGGTTTCACCGTTTTAGCCGGGATGGTCTCGATCTCCTGACCTCGTGATCCGCCCGCCTCGGCCTCCCAAAGTGCTGGGATTACAGGCGTGAGCCACCGCGCCCGGCCTTATTTATATGAATTCTTACTCATGCTCCCAATATTTAGGGGAGATAGAAGAGCCCATTCACCCCTTCCAGCCTGTCTTATACACCAACCAAGACTGCCTTTCATGAAGTGCGACAGAACTCACTGGTCTAGTAGAGTCTAAACTAGTGTTTTGGCCACCATCCAGTGCAATAGATCACAAAAGCGTATTCCTCCAGTCTAAATGAAACAATATACCTTTGACTAATATATCTTACTTTCCCATTCATATATGCAATTATTGTCAATTAAAATTAATTATTAATTATTAACACAATAAAAGTAAAATACACAAAAAAGTGTGATTTGTATAAAGTGAAATAATTACTTATTATTTATCAGTGTAGTCTCTTTTTGGTACTTACAGCTACCAAAAATGGCCGTTGCTTTTATAGTTATTTTAAGAGTACTATCAGTAAGATAAAAGAATCTTATTAATTAGAATAACAAAATGCGTAAGGTCAAGCAATCAGAGACACCATGTTTTGTTGGAATGCAGCAAAGCAGAGGGAGTGCACCATAAACTAAGAAATCAGAATTCTAAAGCTAGGATTTTACCAGGATTTGTTTTGTTATGTTAAACAAATGAAGCAAACTCCATCAATTCACTGACATTTGTTTTAAACAACAAACAGTTCCTGCTGCTTCTTAGATCTCAGCAAAAACTATTTTTAATGTAGTGTATCAGATCCCCAAAACAATTCTTAAAAATATATTTTTTAAAGGAAAAATACTGCAGATAGGCTCCGACTCACAGATTGCTGTGTTTGGTATTATTTTTCTGTACTACATCTAGTATTTACCTGGATCTCTGTTCAGAGTCCTGAGTATCTATTAAGTCAGCAAACTATGACCTTCCTCCTGCTCTCTTGTTTTTCTTGCCCGTTTGTATACCTATTTATGACTTTTATTCTAGTCCTCTCTCCTGTTTCAACCTAACACTAAAAACCATTAAAGCCCTCTGTTTTTAGGGGATACACTCTGTAATCCTCATTTCCTATTTTTTTTTATCACAACCCAATCCAATTAAATACAAGTCTCCCATGATGTATTCTGTCCACTTTGGAAATGTTGTGACTATGCCTCCCTCACTAGAACAAGTCTCTATTAGCTTAGGGGCTTTGGGCATAGCTGAAACCTAAGTTTGTCACACTCATTAAATATTATAATGTGAACTTCTAATGGGTAACTGCTATTGATTTCTCTATTTCTGCCTCTCTTATACCAGGTTTTCTCTTTCTATTATGACCTGCGTCCTTAAAGCCTCACCAGGCTTCACCATAATCTAAGGTTTAATATAAAATTGTCTAACATGAGTTTATTATGAAGATATATAAGACCATTTTGTTAATATTAAATGGTACATAATAACATTTCATTTGATTTTACATGAAATTTCTTAAAATAATACATTCAAATATGTTACACAAATGAAGAGAAACATAAAATCTATAGGATGTTTTTCTCATAAAAATCAGTAAAACAGTGATTTCTCATAAAACAGTGATTTCTCATAAAAATCAGTAAAACAGTGATGTTGACCATCTTGTAGCAGCAACAGACAAAATATCCATGTCATAATCAAAAATGTCCTATTCATATAACTTTCAAGTGACATTACACTTTTGGCAGAAGATAGAGTTTCGGGTAGAGCTTCAGGGTTTGAAAATAATGGCTAACCACTAGACAGATTAAGCATGTATACAGAATGGCAGACAATGGCTGAATTTCACACATCAGATGTTTTCAGTTGCACTATACACATGAGTGATTTTGCATCACATATACATAGATGGTAATTGTAATTTTCTAATACAAAGGACATAGGCATAAGCTAAACTCTCTTTTTTCCCTAGCATCTTGGGTAGAGATAGAAAATTTCTTAATATTAATGCTAATTTTAACAACTCCTAGCATTGTAAAATGATTTATATCACACAGTAGTAATAGCACAAAGAACAATGAACCAGAAAACAAATTGATCATGGTTTTGTTATTGTCTTTTAGGCCAAACTCACCTTCCCTTAAGCAATTGCTCAGTGCTCAGTGAACTGAGTTTAAAAATGCTCATCACCTTCTTTTTCCAATCTTGAAGGATCTGGAAGAGACAGCATCTTCAAGGATGAACAGGGTTTAATAGATTTTAAATTGTTCCCAGAATTCAAGAAACAGTTTTTCATTTGCTTTGCATGCTGTGACACCCAAGGCATTTATGGAATACATCCTGTGTGTGTGTGTGTGTGTGTGTGTGTGTGTGTGTGTGCGTGCGCGCGTGCACTCATGTGTCCACTGGGACGGGGAAAGGTATAATATGAAATATTTGGTAAGGCAAAATGATCAATCCAACAGCTCAGTTCATAGCTCAGTATGTGCCTTAGTGGCTTGGTTTGACATAGTATCTTTATACCAGTTAAATCCTGTAAGACAATCAATTTTAAAAAGTTATAACACAATGTAAATATAATTCAATAAATCTTGGTTTGTTAACATTCATTGACTATTCAATTACCTAAATAGTCTTTGGAGGATCTTTTTAGAATACTAGATTTTATCCTCCTTGTTCTTTTTGTTTTAACTGTTTCAGTTATTTAAGGACCCGTGATCTGAAAATAGATTATTTATTTATGAACAAATGAGACTTGGAGGATGAATTGGAATGTCAGAGGCATAAAAACATTAAATTGCCTAGGATTTTGTCCAGGTGTCTATTCACAGTATATAATCACTAAGCTTGGTAAATACAGAATGAAATAGCAGACGCTGTGAAGAGATTGCATCCCTTCTTGCTCTAAGCCTAAGATCACAACTAAACAAAAGATCTTGTATACCTCATAAATATTGTACCAAAACTTTCTTGACATGGCATTTTCAGAGGTTAGTTAGATACAGGATCTTGAGAAAGAAAGCAAAATTATGAATTTAGAAAACCTCAAAGTACAACAAAGCAAAACTTGGGAAAAATAAATAATCAAACAGCGATTTAGCTAGCAGAACAGTGTTAAACATATTGCAGATTTGCACATACATGTATAGATGTCTGAAATATCTTTGTGTCCAAGAAAAGAAATAACCAAGAGTAGGAATACTATTAGTAATAAAGAATACTAACTATTTCTTTTCTCACTGTCTGTCTGTGTGATCATGGGCAAATAACTTATTTGGACCTCATTTATTTTTACATGTGTTTTAAAACTTACAAAAATGAAAGAATAGTAATACTTGAAGTGAAATATTTCTAAGAACAGACTGCAAAACAGCATTTTTAAAATATATAATACTACCACACACAATTACAAATGTCAAAAATTAGATGGATTTTGGTCAAATATAAAATATTCAGCTAGTTATTGGTTCATACTAATAAAAGACAGCTCATGACAGAATTATCTTTTTTCTCATTTAGAATTAAATATCCACAGCTGTAGTTACACAAATGCACTAAACTTCTCTTTGCAGAGTTTGCATATTATTCAACAAATATTTTAATGGTTAACACCCCAACTTGGTCAAAATCAGAGAGAAAAAATGTTTAAGACAAATGATAGTGCCAGAAGCACATGCAACAGCTGACAAAAGAAAAATGATAACTGCCGTTCCTAATTGCCTGTTAAAAACCAGAAATGTTTAAGTTCATAAGTCAATTTTTCTTTGTGAAACATGGAGTCAACAGTTTGCAACATTAAATTTGGAATATTCTTGTTTGCATTAGTAATAGGGGAACATCCCTTTATTTGGAAAAAGGTTTAATGTATTTTATTTGGGGCCTGATTTATCAACAAGTCACAGAGTCATTTTACAGAATTGTGCTGAAATTAAATGAAATGCATTGAATGAGTACAGCAGAGCACTACATTTTGTGAGGTACAAATATAAAACATATTATACTAGACATATAAACATAACGATTCTGAGAAAATAATAATATGTGAACACATGTAACATAGTGTAGGAAAAGGAGCTGTTGATATTAAATTTAGTAGACAAAGAAGATAATATGGCATAATGGATTGGTTGAGAAAAGAACAGAATTGGTAAGAATTGAAACGTGATATTAAAAAGTAGAAAGTAGTGTAATTATGGTAGATTTTTTTCATATGAGAGTATTGGTTGGATAGCTTTTCATGAAAAATGTCTGTAAGAATATACATTAGATTTGGCAAATGTATTAGTTTTCTATAGCTGCAGTAACAGATTACCACAACTTGGATAGTTTACAAGAACAGAAATTTGGTCTCTGACAGTTCTGGAGACTAGAACTTCAAAATCATATTGTATTTAGTAGATAAAGAAGATAATATGGCAGAATGGATTGGTTGAGAAAAGAACAGAATTGGTAAGAATAGAAACATGATATTAAAAAGTAGAAAATAGTGTAATTATGGTAGATCTTTCATATGAGAGTATTGGTTAGATGGCTTTTCATGAAAAATATCTGTAAGAAAATACATTAGATTTGACAAATGTATTGATTTTCTATAGCTGCAGTAACAGTTTACCACAACTTGGATGGTTTAAAACAACAGAAATTTGTTCTCTCACAGTTCTGGAGACTAGAATTTCAAAATCACATACCAGCAAAATTGGTCCCTACAGAGCTCTGAAGGGGAGTCCGTCCCAAGCTTCTTTTTCTGCTTCTGAGAGTTACCAGTTACCCTTGGCCTTCTTTGGATTATAAATGCGTAAGTGCGAGCTCTGCCTACGTCCACATGCAGAAATCTTTGCTCTGTGTCTCTGTCTCTTCTCTTTTTATAACAATAGCAGTCATTAAGGGCTTACTCTATGCAATTATTGCTTCATCTTAACTAATTATATTTGCAATGACTCTGTCTCCAAATAAGGTCATATTCAGAGATTCTGGTGGTTAGGACTTTAAGTGTTGAGAAGGGAAATTTTTACCTATAACAGAAAGTAAATATTTTATATAATAGGGTTGTATAATATCAATATTAGCTTGAAGTTTACAGGAACTCATTAGATGTACAGATTAGGAGAAAAGCAATTTTGAAAGTGGAACTTTGGGATTATTTAATTGTTTGGAGAATTCTACAAAAATACAAATATGAGGTAATTAAAACATATATAGTAGAAATGGAAAGAACATATTAAACCAGTCTCTTGTTAAAGAATGATATACCCTAATAGTACTGCTGCAAAACAAATAAAAATACCAAGAAACTATAAAAAAAAGCATAACATAAAAACATAACTTTGCATCTATCAATGATATGAAAAATAATTTAAAAATTCTCAGAGGCCAAACGGAAAGTAAAAAGAGGCAAAGATTCTAAAACGGTCGTCAAATTCTATTGATTTTAACCTTCAATTTTTGCTACCGTGTAGCAGAAGACAAAGTGTAGAAACTGACTTTATGGGAAATCTGATAGAAGACTCAAAAAACAAAGCTGACACCTGTAAAGACTATTCTCTTAGTATGACTGTGAACTAAAGAATAATAGCAAAATAATAATAGCAAAATTTGATGTGCAAATGTGACTTAAATTATTGATTTTATTTCTTTTCTAAAAACAATATTAAGGCTATGTAATAAATTTAAATCTTTTAAATTATGCATGTTGAAATGCTGATGGTAAACACTTTAAACAAAACAAAAATAGTGTATTTAATTTCTAAATTAGAGGAAGAAAGTAGAAAAAGAAAGCAAAATAATATCAAACAAACCAAAGTTATTACAATGGAAAGAAAAATAATAACATAAAGCAAAATAAAATTTTGAGCCAAAGAAAGTTGTAGAATACATACATTGTGATTTAATTTATATACAATTCCAACTACAAAGCCAAGTAAGATAAAAAGGAATGCACATATATATTCCAACACCACATAAAAAAGAAAGGGAGTGATTAACATAGAATTGGGGTAATACTTCTCTCCTGAACAGAGAAAGGGAAAAAGAATTGGAAAGGAGGCATACAGGGGATCTAATATTGAAAATTAGGAATTTGTATTACCCGCATTTCAAAGAAGATATACAGTTATGTGTTTTATTATTTGTATTTAAAATTAACAAAAATAATTTGTGCATATTCAAAAATTAATAAAATATTTTAAAAGAGAATAAAAAGATTGTAAAATTATACTAAATTTAGAGAGATACCTTTGCCAAAAGTGGAAATTTGTTACAGGATTTGTTCGTATACTAACATTCTCAAACGGCGATTTTTGTCCTTCAATGTCACTTTCTGGTTGTTATGATTGTTTCTAGACAGAAAGTTGAGGTTTGATGCAGCAAGCTTGTCCTCCTCTAAAATTGCTTTGCACAGTCTACCAAGAAATCTAATTTTCAGGTGTAGTGAACTCATCATAGAAGCATATATGTATGCATATATAATCAAATATATAAATATATATTTCCAATCAAATTAGACAAAGACACTGTCTTTAATGATACCATTATTTAGTATGCTTTATGGTTCTTAGAAATTATAGATTTGTCCCCTTAATCTTTGGTAGAGTCAAAAGTAATGTCTTATTAGTGTCTCTTGAAAACTAGTAAGAGACATTGCCATTGTTCTTAATCTTTTATATGTTTCACTTAATCTCATTCAATATTATAACTTTATTCAGCTCTTGTAAAATTTAATATAGTTGAAATGAAGGAGATATATACTGAAAGATACATTTTTAGAAGGAATTATGGAAATATGTATATATGTTCTATTCACTGATAAATACATATTAATATTAAACATATATAAAAATAAAACTACATAAAATAAAGAAACATATTCACTATGAAGTGAATTGAATTACTGCAACTAATACTCAGTTTGATTGACTTGCCTAGAGTAAAAATCTATAGTAAAAAAAAGAAATCTGACAGAACAATTACACAGCTCAATATCAAAGAGAGGAATTTCAATTATTCAAGAATGAACTTTTATTTTTATGGTCCTTTAAAATTTCTTTATACAAACATTTAACAATACAATCTTTAAATCTATGGATAAATATGTAAATAAGATACTATCATATGTGCTTTTTTTAGTAGTTTTTTTCCTTTTACTTTCCTTTTTAAAATTTGTGTAAGTAGCCTCTTCTCTTACTTTTCATAAAACTGCTACCAGTTGTTAATCCACGTTAGTTCACTAAGATACCTTCTTGTATTTGCCCTTAATTTGTATATCTGAAAACACAGGAAGAATTAAGATCAATTATGACTGTGCAAAAATTGGGTCATCTTACTCATAATTAACTTAATCACAGAAATCTCTCTAAATCAACTGGTATATATCTACCATTGTTGGTTTTGACATTTAAAAAAAAAACTGTCTTTAATGATGGGCGTTTCTTTGCTTCTTTGTCTCACAGTGTATCTTTTTGGGGTGATCGTGTGTGTTTGTGTGTGCGTTTAAATGAATAAATATATATTTGTTAATATATAGGTACTTTGCATTTTTGAAAGTGATCATCTGTTGTTTAATTGTGGGATCAGAGTTTGTGCTACTTAACCTTGATTTTAGTAAGTTGCTAGTTTTCAAATGACTGTAATATTTAAAGTATATGAATACTCCTTAATCCACCATATACAGGTATTTCTAATTTGGAAAATTCTGGTTGTATATTATGACAGGCCCGATATGTCACTAATGTTCGTGTTGAGAATTTCACTATTGGTTAAATAACTAATCTACTTCTCACTGAGATAATACCAACTTCAT